>NC_000002.12:62614594-62917625 GCF_000001405.40 Homo sapiens | reverse complement strand
CCATGAGGGAGAAGTTATGTTCACAGTATAAAGCATAAGAAAAGGACTCAGCATTGGGATTAAGAACATACCTGAACTATAGAGTCAATTAGATCTAGGTTTGAATCCTAACTCTGTTACTACTTAATGTTTTCCTTAAAATGTGTGTGTGCGCACACACATGTGCATCTGTGTGCACACGTGCGCATCTGTTTATATTAATATACATAGTCACGTACTGCATAATGTTTCAGTCAATGACAGATTACATATATGATGGTGGTACCATAAGATTGCAATACTGTATTTTTACTGTATCTTTTCATTCATTCATTCATTTATTCATTCATTTTTGAGACAGGGTCTCACTCTGCTGCTCAGGCTGGAATGCAGTGGTATGATCACAGCTCACTGCAACCTTGACCTCCCTCCTATTTCATGTTTAGATACACAAATACTATTGTGTTACAATTGCCTGTGGTATTCAGTACAGTAACATGCTGTAAAAGTTTGTAGCCTAACAGCAATAGGCCATATCATATAACCTAGTCGTGTAGTACACTACACCATCTAGCTTTGTGTAAATGTGCTCTAAGATGTTCATATAATGACAAAACTGCCTAATGGCACATTTCTCAGAATGTATCCCAATCATTAAGTAACACATGATATATATATATGTGTATGTCTTTTATTTATACATATATACAATATAAATTGTACAGTATATGTAATATTGCATATTGTAATAGCTATTAAATTGTATACTGTATATAATAGCTATATTTTATATACACAATGAATATATTTATATTTTAATAAAATTTGTGTATGTAAATTTTATGTTTATATATAAAAGATAATATATACAATAACATACACAATATTATAAAATATATTTTGATGATATATAATACACACATTATAAAATTATTTATATATAAATATATATGGAAAAATAGCTATTAGTTCTTTTTCTAATCTTGGAAATATGGAAATATATCATCCTTACCTATCACTTTTTAACTTGTCATTTTAAATTTTTTTTTTTTTTGAGACAGAGTCTCGCTCTGTTGCCCAAGGTGGTGTGCAGTGGTGCAATCTTGGCTCACTGCAAATTCCACCTCCAGGGTTCAAGTGATTCTCAAGCCTCATCCACTCGAGTAGCTGGGATTACAGGCGTGCACCACCATGCCTGTTTAATTTTTGCATTTTTTAGTAGAGCTGGAGTTTCACCATATTGGCCAGGCTGGTCTTGAACTCCTGGCCTCAAGTGATCTACCCGCCTTGGCCTCCCAAAGTGCTGGGATTACAGGTGTGAGCCACTGCACCTGGCCCATTTTAATTTTTATAGAGTCCAATTTGCCTATCTTGTCTATCTTTTGCTTCTTCTGGTTCAGAAAGTTATTTTCCCTCCAGAGATCCAGTAATATTATTATATTTTCTTTTTCTTTTAAAATATATTTCATTAATTAAAAGTTCTATTATTTTAGAGACAAGATCTCACTATGTTGCCCAGGCTGGACTCAAACTCCTGGGCTCAAGTCATCCTCCCACTTCAGCCTCCCAAGTATCTGGGACTACACATGTGCACTACCACACCTAGCTCATTTTAAATTTAATGCTGTAATGCTTTCATCTACCTAGAATACATTTTAGTGAATGGTGTGAATTAAAGTTCTATGTTATTATCCAACATCACTTCCCAAATAGTATTTCATTGTTCTGTGATACTCCTGTTATTGTATATTAAATGATTATGCAAATGTGTTGTGTATGGTGTCTGAATGAGATTGTGTTTGTTTCTGGGGTAGATGTTTTGCTTCAGTTATCTACCTACTGTTTTTACCAGTACGTTGTTATCGTATATACTGCTTTAGTATCCTGTATGCCTAATCAAACCCCATTAACAATTATTTTAAAAAAAATTTTTTTTAAATCCTTAAACATTTATTTTCCAAATAAATTTTTAATCATTTTGATACCATCCCCTCAAAAATCCTGTTTGTATTTTGATTATGGTTATATCAAATCTATAAAGTATCTAGGAAAGAGGGATGCTTTCACAATATTTAGTATTCCCATCTAAGTAAAATTATACATGTGACATGCCCAAAAGGGCTCAAATAGCGTGCTGTCTTATTCAGCATATCTTTTTCTTTTACAATTACTAAAATAAAAAAGAGAAAATTAAAATCCATATAAAATGGGATGCATGTTATTTACTGTTCAGATTAAGTCTATTTTTCCTATAGCCCTATTATTGAATGTAATTTAAGTGAGATATACTACCGATTTATAAATTAGTAAAGTTAAATGGTAGCTCTTCACTTTTATGAAATAATTATGGAATTCTTCTTCTGGTATACATTTAAAATATAACCTGCATTTCAAAAATTCATTTTAAAAACTATGCAATCACAGTTTGTATATAAAATTAGGTACTATGATAGCAAAAAGAATCTTTACAAAGAAATTCTTTTTTACGGTAATACCAATGTGAATTTTTAAAAGATCCATACGTATACATAGACCATATAAAAACATTAATGAAAGGGAAATGCCGATCTAGGAATGCCAACTATGGGGAAGGCACATTTTTAGATATTTCCAAGAGAAACATTTTACATATATATTAATAATAGACTATAATAGCACATATAAATGTAATATCTAAGGGCAATACTTAGGCCATTTTATCCAACTTTTCTGCAAATTTTGGCCTTTATTGGACAAGGCTAAATCAAATTCAATTATGAATGCAATTTTGGCTAAGTTAGTGATATAACAGATTTTATGATATTGGGATGTGACTTGGGCATTCCTTTTCAACCTAAGTTTATTTTTATTTAGATTTTTAAGGGCTCATTTATTGAAGTATAATTTATAGCAACATTCACCCTGTTAAAGTATATAGTTTATACAAATGCATACAGTCATGGAACCAACTTAATATTTTTAATTACCTTACTCAGTTCTCTAAGTAGAGCCAATAATTACAAGCTTACTCCCAATCCTTTCCCTGACCTCATTTCAGTCCTTTTGCTCACTAAATATACAGATTATAACAGCAAATATAGATGGTTTGTCCAAGGAATTTCCTAACATTGACTGGGGAGATTATACATTTCAAAATAAAACCTAAACTAATATAGTACAAGTCAATTCAGTTTAACATTTGATTTTAATATTTATATTCACGTATTTTTGAAGAAAAAATTAGAAACATTAAAGAACTAATGAACTGGCTTCACAGAATTCCTGTTTTTCTCCCCCCAAGAATCTTTACATATATTGGTAGTGTCATAAGCAAAATTCATATAAACAAAATAGAGTAAGATGTTTGAAGATTTCCCTAGAGACAACTGCAACTTTTAAATAATAGTTTTTCAAGTGAATGAGGATGAGTTTTTTACTGTTTTACCCTTGGATACACTGACCAGGGCATAAGTTCCTCCCACTCTCATTTAGCTCTATAATTTCAGAAATAATGATTTATCTAATAGCTGTATGCTTAACAGAGATTTTTTTTAAAATGCTGTGGTTACACTATTCTGTCTAAACAGTCAACCTGCCTGATTGAAAAGGTTTGACACTCTCTTTCTAGGAATTGTCATATGACCCAAATTACCTCATTATTAGCTTTGGTGTTATAAACAAAGGATAAAAACATGTAACAAAAATCTATCCAACCCCTCTTTTCTGTTCTGTAATTATCATGAGCAATTTGATTGATTTGCCATTGAATTCATTTACCCAGGAAAATCATATACAATGTTCAGGCTACAAATTAAGTATTGAGGAGTTATGCTTTACTAGACGACAAGTAAAAGCTTATCATGAAAAGAAGAGGCATAAAAGCCTCCACTTTTAATGTTTCTACTTTAAAACCTTCTACATATAAAAGTGTTTTTAAAGAAATACATTTTTCCACTTTGGATAAAATGTAAAAGTAGCTCATAGATGCAAAACTTTGTATCAATGCTTACTGTGACATACCACTTAATTGAAAGATTCTTAATTAAACATGCCCCACCAAAAAAACCTCACCAAATTGCATTTGCCACCAAATGACTAACAAGTACACAACAGTTGGAAACTGTCAAAATATTTTACAGCTCAATTGTAATTACCAACCAAGCTAAGCATGCCCTGAGTGGGGTGTTAACCACATTTTGGGGGATGTAAAACATTAAGCAGCAGTCCCTTTTTTGTGGTCTCTAATTTATACTTTTAAAACTCCTAAATAACTCCAAAGAATTTTTGTTGTCCTCAGTGAAAAATCAGCAAAACTTCAATATGAGATATAATGCTTTATCATTTTCATAGATCTACTAGTGGGAAGGGCCTTTAAAAGATCATTTGGCTAATCTCTTAACATTATAATTGAATATACTGATTATTTGGTTATTTGTCTTAAAAAAGTGATCTCAAAACATAAATGCTTTAAAAAAGTAATCTTAAAACATAAATGTTTTCTATCATCCTTATCATAATACATGTAGCCAAAAATAAGTGGGAAGGTGTGATTAGGGAAAAGTGTCAATATGGAAATACAGCTGGTGAGTTTCCAGAGGGGAGAATGCAGACATCGTTTGCCATTTGAAGTAGGACAGCATCCAGCCACTCTTCCCTCCTCATCAGAGAGTGTACAGCTTGAGGCTTTGTGATTATCCACACTTGGCATCTCTTACTGATAGAAAAGAAGTGGGTTAATTTTTACTACCGACCATAAACACAGGTGGAATACTACTCCCACCAGGTATCATATGCATACCCTATTCTTCTACTTGTTGGAGGCAGAAATAGGAAGTAGAATATACCATGGAATATATAAGCTTGTTTTTTGTGTGATTCCGAAGTCTATATTTTTCCTGAGAGATATCAATCAGTGAAAACTGTTCAAAAAGCAGATGAATAATAAACTCAGACCATACCGGTGCTTCAAATTTAAAATGAAATTATATTTAAATACACTTTAACATTTAACTGTAGATACACAGGAAGATTCAACTATACTTGTTGTATCTCAACTTGAAAGATGGGCATACAAGTATTGGTTTTATTTTTATTTTTGCATTAAAAAATATTTTTTGAGACAGAGTCTTGCTCTGTTGCTCAGGCTGGAGTGCAGCGACACAATTTTGGCTCACTGCAACTTCTGACTCCCGGATTCAAGCCATTCCCCTACCTCAGCCTCCCAAGTAGCTGGGACTACAGGCATGCACTACCATGCCTGGCTAATTTTTGTATTTTTAGTAGAGAGGGGGTTTTACCATGTTGGTCATGCTGGTCTCAAACTCCTTACCTCAAGTGATCTGCCCGCCTCAGCCTTCCAAAGTGCTGGGATTACAGGTGTGAGCCACAAGTACTGGTTTTAAATAATTCCTTTATCTTTTTATATGACTGAAAAATTCTATTGAATATCATAGGAAAAAAATCACAACAACATAGGATTTAATGTGACTCTCTGATGACTATCTTGAAAAGCTAATCTAATATCATATCACTCATAGAGATGGTTTTTTTGTTCCTCCAACTCCTTTAACATACATAATCTATCTAGTAGTTTTCAACCATTTGCAGCTTCCATCTCAACAAGTATACTATTAAAGAATCTAGGTGCCATGCAGAATAAAATGATTTTTAAAACCCTAGTATCTTTCTCCAGAAAATACATTTATATATATTTCACACATAAAATTTTAGGAGATTCGTTTAAAGTATTCTCATTGAAAAATCTCCATAAATTTTGGGAGAATGTTACTTCTCTTTACCAATACATTACACAGACAAATCTATCCATGGCAAACATCATGAAGTTTTCTTCTTTTCCAATCCTCACTAACACTCCACAGCCTACCTTAAGGATTTAAAAGTTGCTAGGCTGGGTGCCGTGGCTCACGTCTGTAATCTCAGCACTTTGGGAGGCCAAGGTGGGCAGATCACCTGAAGTCAGGAGTTCGAGACCAGCCTGACCAACATGAAGAAACCCTGTCTCTATGAAAAATACAAAAATTAGCTGGCCGTGGTGATGGGCGCCTGTAATCCCAGCTACTTGAGAGGCTGAGGCAGGAGAATCACTTGAACCCAGGAGGGAGAGGTTGCAGTGAGCCAAAATTGTGCCACTGCACTCCAGCCTGGGCGATAGAGTGAGACTCCATCTCAAAAATAAGATAAAATGAAATAAAAGTTCCTAAACAGGACAGGAAAGTTAAAAAAATAACCAAGAAAACATTCTAATGCCTTATTTTGGTCAGAATCTAAAACAAATAAGTAACAACAAGAACAACAATAATAATAGCAGTAGCATCTGTCACTTACAGAACTTTTCCAAGTACTTTATGTATATTAATGTGTTTAATCCTCACTACAGTCCTATAAGATAAGCACTATTATTATTCCTATTTTATAGATGAGCACACTGAGGGAGAGAGAGGTTAAATAAGTTGCTCTAGTTAACAGGTATCATCTGTGGGCTTGGTAGTGTGATTCTAGGCAGAATATGCAACTCACTTTGTGGTACAAAGTCAGATTAGCACGTATTTTAAATACAAATCAGGAACCAGAAAAATAATTCTCTCTGCAGATGACTCAGAACTGAAATTTTACCCAGAAAGAACATCGTATGAAAGCCGGGACCTGAATTCTAGTACAGGAGGTCCTACAGATCAAAAAGCATTATTAGCCTAATGACACATTCTTTCTGAGTTTTGATTTAAACGTTCGTAAAACAAACAAAAGAAGAGCTGGATTAAGATTCATTTATTCAATTAAAGTGCACCTATTAAGTGGAAGGTAATATGCATTACTGAGGATCTGTTTTAACTCATCTAAAGTTTATATTCCCCATCAAAATATTAGGGCAGGACCTTGCAGCTATTTTAGCTTATATCTGAAAACCTGGCATGCTTTTTAAGGGTGAAGGAAATGAGATTAAACCAAAGAGGTTCAATGACTTGTCCAAAAAGGAAATTTAAGGTAAAGCTGGGCAAAAACCTTAATTTTACCAAAGCTGCCACGAGTAGCAATTCAGTGCATTTTTTTTTTTCATTCAACAAAAATTTACCAAACATCCATTACATGTTAGGATTGGCAATATAATGGTAGGCAAAATAAGTCACTTTCTTATAGAGTTTACAACACCTGCCAGAAAGGAAGAACTCAGTAAGTGGTTAAATATTTTATTAAAAAATTTAACACGATGGTTTAAGTCATAAAACCACCATTTAAAACTGATTTTTTCTCCCCTCAACCAGATTTCCATAGAAGCTTTATCCAACAACTTTCCAAGGCTACTTTTGAGAGATGATTCTTTAAAGTCAAACTCAGTGGGATTAAAATTGAAGTACTTAACCACTTTTACTATAGTATGGTACAAACTATATAAACTGAGTTACAAGTATACGATAACATATTATTCACTAACTCGCATTGGTTTAAGGTTGGAGATCCTTCAAGCACCTCCAATTTCATTCCTCTTCCAATAAACAAGCAGTCACTTTCCAAATTAGTACTTCCCAAATATGCTGGCCATCAAATCACCTAGAGTAGGGGATACTTGGATTGAACTTCGATTAAAAACACATTCTGGCCAGGCACACTTGCTCACACCTGTAATCCTAGCTCTTTGGGAGGCCAAGGCAGGTGGATCACCTGAGATCAGGAGTTCAAGACCTGGCCAACATGGTGAAGCCCCGTCTCTACTAAAAGTTAAAAAAATTTGCTGGGTGTGGTGACATGCGCCTGTAGTCCCAGCTACTTAGGAGGCTGAGGCAGGAGAATCACTTGAACCCGAGAGGTGGAGGTTGCAGTGAGCCAATATTGCGCCACTGCACTCCAGCCTGGGTGACAGAGCAAGACTCTGTCTCAAAAATAAATGAACAAACAAACAAAAATAAAAAAATGAAAAACATATTCTGAGATTCTACCCTTGAAAACTGTCATTCAGAGGTAAAAAGTAGACCCCAAGTAATTCTGATACAGCTGGGGAACCAGGTCACAGTTCATTTTTGCCAGCTGACATTTCCACCTTCTGATTCCAAACATATTTTCCTTTTAGAACCCACAGAGGCAATTCTGTTTTGGTGTAAAACTTCTGCTCACTTTCTGGTCTTAAGTCTTTCAGCATATTCTGACACAGTTTTCTCATAAAGACTCTGCTTAGCAGAGCATGGTGGCTCACACCTGAATCCCAGCACTTTGGAAGGCCAAGGCGGGTGGATCACTTCAGTCTAGAAGTTCGAGACCAGCCTGCATGATATGGCGAAACCTGATCTCTTCTAAAAATACAAAAATTAACCAGGCGTGGTGGCATGCAACTGTAGTCCCAGCTACTCGGGAGGCTGAGGTGGGAAGATCTCGCTTGAGAGCCTGGGAGGTGGAGGTTGCATTGAGCCAAGATTGTGCCACTGCACTCCAGCCTAGGTGACAGCGTGAGACCTTGTCTCGGGGTGGGGGGAAGGCTCTGTTCACAAGAATTTATTGATTACACTAAAAGCCCAGACTTCCCACTACACAATATATTCATGTAACAAAACGGTACTTGCACGCCTAAATCTATGGGAAAACATATTTTTAAGGAATTTATTCACACATGATTTCCTCTGATCTAGGCCCACAGCACTGAGTTCAACTCTTTTGAGTTAAATATTTGATTTAGCACATACATGTAAGCATTCCACAAAAATGTATTAAGACATTACTAAGTGCCAACCACTGGTTCTAGGCACTGGGAGATATATCAGTGATATATGAGGTGAAGCAAAACAAACCTGACTAGAGAATACAGATTTTTTTCAGATGCACATAAAACATTTACCAAGACAATCATATTCTGGGCCATAAAGCAAATTTAAGAGAGTTTAAATCATGAGATAAATTTTCTAACCACAATGGAATTAAGTTAGAAATCAAGAAGAGAAAGACATTTTGAAAACTTACAAGTACTCGAGACTAAATGATACTTCTAAATAAGCCAAGACTCAAAACAAATAAAAAAAATTAGGAAGTATTTTGACCTGGATGTAAATAAAAACACAATATATCAAAACCTGTGGAGCTAAAATAAGTCTTACCAGGATATATATAATACTGAACACCTATATTAAAAAAGAATAAAGGTCTTAAATCAGTTATTTCAGCCTCCACCTTAAGAAACTAAGAAGGAAGTAATAAAGATCAGAGTAGAAGTCAATGAAGCAGAAAGAAAAAAATAGAGAAAAAAAATCAATGGAACGAACAGCTAGGTCTTGAAAGGATGAGTAAAGTGGATAAATCTTGAGCCAGACTGATTAGGGGTAAAAAAGAAAGTGAAAACACAAATTACTAATATCAGAAATGAGAGAGGTAATATCACTACAGATTCTACAGATATCAACAAGATTTAAATAAAAGAAAATTATGAACTTTATGCCAATTAATTTGACAGCTAAGATGAAATGGACAAACTCTTTGGAAGATTTAAACTACCAAAGTTCTTTCACACACACAAAAATTACCTAAATACCGCTATTATAGAAATTTAACTAGTAGCTGAAAACTTTACCCCAAAGGAAACTCCAGGTCCACATGGCTTCATTGGTTAAATTCTCCCAAACATTTAAAGAAGAAATGAACCCAGTCTACACAAATAATTCCACTAGATGCCAGTAACATTTCCTTTCTTCTCGTGTGACAACTGAAGGCATATATAGACATTGCCAAATGTTCCTCCTCCAGGACAAAATAAACTTCAGTCAGGAACCAAAACTAGAGAGATTAAAGTTAACTTGTAGGAAATCAATAATAATGCAATAGCAAATAACTTAATTAGAAAATGGGCAAAAGGCACTGACAGACATTTCACCAAAGAGGACAGACAGATATCAAATACACTCAAGAAAAGATATTTGTTATGAACTGGATGCTTGTGTCCCCCTAAAATTCGTAAGTTGAAACCCTAACCCTTAATGAGATGGTACTAGGAGATAGTTTTTGGAAAGTAATTAGGCTTAGATGAGGTCATGAGGCTAGACTCCTTATTAATGGATTAGTGTCCTTGTAAGAGTCCAGAGAATGCTGGCTTCCTTTCTCAAGCAGGTGAGGACACTGTGAGAAGACTGCCATCTCTAAACCATGAAGCAGACCCTCACCAGACACCAAATCTGCTGGTGACTTGGACTTTCCAGTCTCCAAAACTGTGACTGCTGTTTAAGCCAACCAGTTTATGGTATTGTGTTATAGCAGCCTAAGATGATTAAGAGAGAGTTCAAAATCATTAGCCTTTAGGGAAAAACATACTAAAGCAACAGTGAGATATCACCACACACCTATCAGAATAGCTAAAATAAAAAATAATGACAACACTAAATGCTGGGGAGGATGTAGTGAATCTGGATCAATCATAAATTGCTGGTGGGAATATAAAAAGTCACATCCACTCTAAGAAAATCATTTGGCAGTTTCTTAGAACACTAAACAGGCAACTAACTATACAACCCCATGCTTCCTGGCATTTAATGCCAGAGAAAAGAAAACTTTTAATCACACAAAAATTGGTACACAAATGTTTGCAGCATTTTATCCATAAGAGCCCCAAACAGGAAACAATCAGATGTCCTTCAACAGGTGAGTGGTTAAACTGTGGTATAACCATATCGTGAAATACTACTTAGTAATAAGAAGGAATGAGCTATTGATACATGCGAAACCCAGATGAATCTCCAAATAATTATGCTAAGTGAAAAAAAGTCCATTCCAAAAGGTTATATGATTCAATTTATATTACATTCTTGAAGTATAAATTCCTGAAATAATACTATATGGTTCCATTTATATTACATTCTTGAAATGACAAAACTATAGAAGTGGATTAGTGGTTTTGGCTGTAAATGGGCAACTCCAGGTATCCTTGTGGTGAAAGAAATGTTTTGTATCTGGACTGTAACGATGTCAATATCCTGGTTGTGATATTGTACTAGAGCTTGGCAAGATGTTTCTATTGGGAAAAACTGGATAAAGTACACATGGGATCTCTTTGTATTATTTCTTAAAATATATGTAAATCTAGAATTAACTCAAAATTAAAAGTTTAATTTCAATATTACCATTTGCAAAAATGCAATACTTAGGAATAAGCTGGATAAAAGGTGTGTAATACTTGTATACTATACATCCAATGCATCCCAGCTGAAATTGAGAAGCTGATGCTAAAGTTCATATGGAAATGCAAAGGATCTAAAATAGCCAAGATAACTTTGAAAAAGAGCAAGATGACGAACTTACACTCTCTAACCTTAAGACTTATGATATAGCAACAGGAATGAAGATAGTGTGATACTGTGTAAAGATAGACAAACAGATCACTGGGACAGAGTCTGAAAATAGACGGACACGTATACAGTAAATTACCTTTCAACAGAAGTGAAAAAGGCAACTTAGAAGAGAAAGAACAGTCTGTTCAACATGCAGTGCTGGAATGACTGGGTATAAATACGCTAAAAAAAAAAAAAAAGACAAAATAACTTCAATCTAACCTTGAACATAACACAATTTAACTCCAAGTGGGTCACAGACCTAAATGTGAAAGCTAAAATTATAAACAATCCAATGAAAACATAAGAGGAAATCTTAAAATCCTTAGTGAAAGTTTTTTTTTATATACAACGTCAAAAGCATCTCTTGTGAATTAAAAATCTTATATTTATCTACTTTCCATCTCTACTATCACCACTGTAATCTAAACTACCATCGTTTTTTGCCCAGACTATTTGTTTCTATTCTCTCCTGCTTTTACTCCTGCTTCCTCCTGCCATTTTTACAAAAGTGACTAATTTTTTTTTTGAGATGGAGTCTCACCCTGTCGCCCAGGCTGGAGTGCAGTGGCTTGATCTCGGCTCACTTCAACCTCTGCCTCCCTGGTTCAAGTGATTCTCATGCCTCAGCCTCCCAAGTAGCTGGGATTACAGGCGTGTGTCACCACGCCTGGCTAATTTTTGTATTTTTGTAGAGATGGGGTTTCACCATGTTGCCCAGGCTGGTCTCAAACTCCTGGATTCAAGTGATCCACCTGCCTTGGCCTCCCAAAGTGCTGGGATTATAGGTATGAGCTGCTGCGCCCAACCGAGAGTGATCGTTTCAAGCATGTACCTGATTATATCATTTCCCTGCTTAAAATACTCTTTAATAGATGCTGGCATCCTTGGAATAACATGGCCTTCAAAGGCATTGCATGGTCTAGTCCCTGTCTAGTTCTCAGTTCATCCTGCACTATTCATTCCCCTTGATGATGCTGCTGCAGCCACACTTGCCCACTTGTTCCTCTAATGTGCTAAATTCCTCTAATATGGTAACCATGGCTGTCCTCTGAGCATAAAGTGTCCCTCTTTCCTCCTTCCTTGTCCTACTGGCTAACCCATTCTCACCTTTTAGATCTCAGCATAAATGTTACTTCCATAGACAGGCTTTCTATGACCCCCAATATAAATGTACATCACAAGACCTTTACACTTGCTGTTTGTTCTGTTAGGGAAGCTCTTTCCCCATATCTTTATCCAGTTCATGCCTTGACACCATTTAGTAAACTACTTAAACATCACCTTCATAGAAAGAAATCTGGTGATGACTTAAAATATCATCTTTCTGGCACTCTTATCTTCCTTTCTGATCATATCTGAAGACTCTTATTTTGCTTTCTTATCAAATCTGAAATTATTTACTTTTTGTAATCTTTCTAACTCTCTAGAATATAAACTCCCCAAGGGCAGGACTTGCTCTTGTTTACTACTCTATCCACATTTCCTAGCATATGGTAAGACACTAGAAATCTTTAGCATGAATTTAGGGTGGCAGAGAGAGACTCCATCCCCCGCAAAAAAAGAAAAAACAAAAACAAAAAGTTAGAGTAATAGTCTTTGCTTTGGCAGTCTGGGAGGGATCTTCACATGGGAAGAGTCACTTGAGTTAGATCTCAAGTGAGATATAACTTGAGTTAGGTCAGCCAATCCCCCAGTCCTCCAGGGGTACCCCCACACCTGGCAGGGCTCCTGTTCCACACTGAGGTCCTTATTCCCCAAGGGACCTTGATAATCCTCAGGGGTTCTGCCACCATCGGGCAGCCCATGGGCCGGGGGGGTGAAGCACATGGGCTCAAGTTCCAGTCCTGGCTGACACCTAACTCATGGGGTAACCTTGGGCAAACTACCTAAATCCTTTGTGTCTGTTTCCTCCTCTCTATGATGGAGATGTGGAGTAGATGCACTGTAAACTATGATGAGTGTTATTCTAGATAAAAGGCCTACAGGTGCAGCCATAAAGGAATGGAAGAGAAGGCATGTAAAGGGAACTGTAAATATTTGAGAAAGACCACTACACAGGGTTTATGTGAGGAAGTACTCGGAGTATTTCACCTGCTCAAGATGTCCCTCAACTATTTCTTTGTCTCAGTTCTACCAAACCAGTAAGACATAGGCTCAAATGTCACTTCCTTCAAGAATCCTTTCCTTTCTCTAAAGTTCCACACCACTTTCCATATACCACAGTTTCTTATGGTAATTTACTCTCTATATCATATTTTATGGTTATTTGATTGCTATGAATGTACAATTTCCCTTACAAGCCTTATATTGCTTGTAGTCCAAAGAGCAAAAATAAACCAAAACATAGAAAGGTAAGTAATTATTTCTTAGATTTGGTGGTGCTGGTGGTGGAAGTAAGATATGTACTCAGGTTTTAAATGATCACTGCAAAATCAAAGAAGGAGGTGAGGACCTATTTAAAAATTTTGTATTAGATGAAGAAACTATGGACGAAAATTTTCTCCTTTTGGGGAGCAGACCTTTTCACTCAATATGTTTCTTCTCCTTCTCCTTCTCCTTCTCCTCCTTCTCCTTCTCCTTCTTCAAGGCAGGGTCTCACTCTATTGGCCAGGCTGGAGTGCAATGGTGCAAACATGGTTCACTGCAGCCCTGACCTCCTGGGCTCAAGCAATCCTCTAGCCTCAGCCTCCCAAGAAGCTGGAACTACAGGAGTGAGCCACCATACTTAGCTAATTTTTAAAAAGAAATTTGTAGAGACAGGGTCTAACTATGTTGCCCAAGGTGGAGTCAAAATCCTAGGCACAAGCAATCCTCCCACCTCGGCCTTCCAAAGTGCTGGGATTGCAGGCGTGAGTCACTGCACCTGGCCTGACTCAGTATGTTTAGGTTTTTCTTCTTTATTCCAAATTTTTAATTATTTATTTTTAATCACTCATTAAAACCTTTATTACAATCTTCTTGCATGGATTCATTCCTTTACATATTTTAAAATTAGAACTATAGGCATTATAGGAGTTAACTATCATATAGATTCACACTGATAGAAATTTATTGTAAAAATGCTACACCAAGTTGGAGCAGTTTAAATATTTTATATCTAGAATGTTCCTTTAAGACTTAGCATGTAATTTTAATAAAGTGAATAGACATAACAATTTCATTCTTTATTTTTCCTCATAAATTTGCCCACTAAACCCTCTAAAGAACTTTCAGTTATTAATAGTTGAAGCATAAAATTATCCCTTTGTTTTAAATGCTTCTCTGTGCATTTTGCTTCTTTTCACAGCTCAAAGATTATTCATTACCGCATACTACAAGAGCTCACTTAGCAAGTGAGCTAATAATAGCAAGAACTAGAATACACTGATGTCAAAAATGCCAGTTCTTCCAGAATGCACATTTAGCATGGAATAGACACTAAAGATAAGATTTAGTTGTGAATTAAATCACCTGAAAGGAGAATCTATATAACAAACTAATATCTTTTAAAATAAACCAACTATTTTTACATGAAACAAAGCAAAATATAATGAAGTAAAGTGATTTATATGCAATAACTGTTTAAAAATATTTCATATATACCAGTCAGAAATTAACTATGGTCTCATCATACATATAATTATTTTGGAGTCTTGCCACTTGTTACTTTTCATTTATAACCTAACAGAATAATTTTTATGCAATATTCACAGTTTTAACTATTACAGCCCAACATGGAATAAGATGACAGAAAGAAGCAGCCTTCATAAAATCATTTACTAGTAATTCCTATTTTCCTAACGATACCCCTTTAGCCATCCATATTTTTGAAAATGCATGTATATATTTTTTTCAAGCAACATCTTTGTAATACAAAAAGAAAAATGTTAAACATTTTAAAGAATAGTGATTTTCAAACTGCAAGGTAATTTCATCACAATTACAAAAGACCTACAGAGGTATTCTGGACTATTTTTACTCTTCCCCTCCTATGTTTCTGACATTTTGGAAAGTTATTTTTTTCTTTCCTTTTTCCTCCCCTCATAGACACTCCCCTTAGGCACTAGTGCATCAACAATCCTCCCACGTTCAAAGTCAGCTACATCTGTTGCTTTTTTCATTGTTGAAAAATTCATACCTTAATCGTATTTATTCATGCATAGGTCATCCTGAATTCAACAAATGGAGAAGCCAATGGCAAAGCACACTCTTGAACATGACTTAAAAAATGCTCTTGTAGAACGTGTAACTAACATGCCCACACTGTCTCAGAAATACTTGATTTATCAGGTAGGCCTCCAACCTGGAAGTTGTGTGTTATAAATATTATAACCATATTTGCTAAAAATTATAATAATGTTCTTGATACTTGGTAGTACATTGCTGAATTTTCTTTTTTTTTTTTTGAGACAGCGTTTCACTCTGTCACTCAGGCTGGAGTGCAGTGGCACAGTCACGGCTCACTGCAGCCTCAACCTCCTGGGCTCAAGAAATCTTCCTACCTCAGCCTCCCAAGCAGCTGGGACGTCAGGAATCGCTGCCACGCCCTGCTGATTTCCATATTTTTTGTAGAGATAGGGTTTTGCCATGTTGCCCAAGCTGGTCTTGAACTCCTGGACTCAAATGATCCGTCTACCTCGGCCTTTGGAAAGTGCTGGGATTATAGGTGTGAGCCACTGTGCTCACCTTTCTTTTTCTTTTTTTTTTTTAAACTAAGTGTTAAATGTTCATATTCACAAGCGAGAATTAACTCAGAGGATCTATTCTAACCCTGTTATCATCATTAGATTTTGGCAAATGCAGCCTCCCTTTTTTTTGTTTCCTCTATAAAATAGCATCTCCAACTTTTTAAATTATCCAGTTCTATCAAATGAAGCTAAATTATCGTATTCAACTTTTTTAAACGTTCCCAATTCCAATAAACAGCAAAATAGATGGGTTGGGTTGAGCCTGAAACTCTTTTGAACAGACACTGAACTACAGCTATAATATACTATGCCACTGGCCTTTTTCTCTATGCTAAATATAGCTCAAATCTATAATTTGTTGCTATTCATATGCATCTGACCCAAACTAGCAGACATTAATAGGAAGATTAAAGTAAGAACTAAAATAAACTTAACTAAAGAAAGATTTATGAGGTGAAGATAATTATTTTTAATAGGCTCGTAACTCATCATGACTAAAATACGGGAACACTTACTCACACATCTTATGTCCAAGTTAAAAAAGACACCTGCCAACTTAAGATGAACCAAGCTCAATTAGTTTCAAGCAATCAAGGAAAAGGCCACTGTTGTTCCTATGGCTTAATAAAGGAAAATAAATACTTTCTATAAAATATAGTGTTGTTGACTTTAAATGAGCTTCACAGTATAAGGCAAAACTGAATATAAGACTTTTAAAGAAATTACTTGGCTACTTACCATATAAACTCAAACAACTGCTAAGAACAACTTGCTACTGCTTCATAATAAAAAATAATCAAATACATAAGATATACTTTCCAAGAAGATATTTCAGTGCATAGTTTAAGTTGACAGCAAAATATGAGTATAAATATAAACAAACTGATAACATCATTTGCCATCAATGTCACCAATATATTTTACTATAATTTCTCAAATCTTGATAGACAAAACTTAAGATAAAATTCAGAGAAAGAAAATATATATATATATATATACACATACACACACACCCACAAAAAACAAAAAACACTTCCTCCCAACCTTTTTCTTTTTTTTTTAAAGACAGGGTCTCACTCTGCCTCCCAGGCTGGAATGCAGTAGTGTGATCACAGCTCACTGCAGCCTCGATCTCCTGATCTCAAGTGATCCTCCCACTTGAGCCTCCTGAGTACCTGGGATTACAGGCATGCACCACCACACCCACCTAATTAAAATTGTTTTGTGAAGATGGGGTCTCACCATGTTGCCCAGTCTGGTCTTGAAATCCTGGGGTTAAGCAGTCCTGTGTCCCCCATTGCCTTAGCCTCCCAAAGACCTGGGATTAAAGATGTGAGCTACTATGCCTGGTCATTTCCCCATTTTAAGTAAGATAACCTCCCATTTTTCAAAAAAGCCTGTGAACATCATTTTCCTTCACTGAATTACACTTTCTCAATGATGTAATTTTAGAGTAAATATTTAGTCTTCATTTTTTTATTTTCCTTATATTGGAAGTGACTAATGAGACCATGATATCTGTGTTTCTCCAAGCTTGGGTCTAGTAGTTAATGCACCATAGAACCCTTAAATGTACTAGCAAAGTTTACTACTGAACAGAGGTTTTCCAAATCCTATTTTTGTAAATAGAAGATTCATTTTTGCAAGTTATTACTCAGTAATTCCATTCTAAAATTTGTGTTTGCCTGAAATGTAGCACACTTACATGTGATACAATGAATGGTCTAACCTTTATTTGTAAAGTGGAGACAACAGCACCCACTCCATCTACTTCACGATTCTGTACAGACAATAAAATAAACTGTGCATATTTCAGTGTTGTGGAGACTATGGAGAATCTTATAAATGTAAGAAATTGCTATGATGCATAGGGAACTTCTGCCAACTGGTCAGCAGATAGACGTCTTTGAAGTAATGAGTTTATATGGAAAGAGACCCAGATAAATCAAGGTAGAATGTCCTATGTCAAAGATTTTCATGATTTAGCAGTTAGGAACCACCATCATCGTTGAAACTTTCAGATGGCCTCAGTGTGGAACTCCAGCATATATGCATGTAATATATCTGTGACAGAACAAATGCCAGGTGTTCTTTGTCCAAGTCTGATGTAAACTGCTGTCACCTGGTTCAGACCCAGAGTCTCCAAGTCCACACCTAAAAATTTCTGGCAAGAGTGTATGCTTTCATATTATCCCTGAGTGAGAGCCTATAAACTGCAAAACTGAATGGAAAAATTCCTTATTCTCAATAAAGGGACAGGAAGGAACACAGGAGATACTAAACATTACAAAATGTGCACTGCCCATTTCTCTATTAAAATATGTCTTGTACCTTGAGACACTTGAAGCCAGCTTTATTTTCTCCACATGGGCCTTAACAATATCCCTTATGTGCAGATGTCACTGTTCTACTCCAAGGCTCAGTCCCCCATGGCCTTGTTCTCAATGTTGTCCTGAATTTAGGGAAGACCCCTTCAGCTCCTGAGTTCATGAATGAAACATCTTCTCTGTGAAGGCCACAATTAATTAATTTTCTCCTAAACCTCAACAAGCCAGCACCTTCTGATTATTCTGAGCTGAGGTATTTTTGAAAGTTTAAGGGCCATTTTCTTATAGTTTGCATTTTTCTTTCCTATTAATTGCCTATTTCACAAAATGTAATGAACACTTCACCAGCCCCTTAAACAGGCAAGACCAATCTCATGTTAATTCTGCCATCTGCGTGTAGGTGCATATTCTACATGGAAGAGGGGGAAAAACAATGGAAGTAGAAGCTAAAACTTAGTCTATCTAAAACCAAATTCATTTTTTTAAAACACAAAATTATCCTTACATTCTCTTTCTCTATTAAAGGCCGAGCCAGGATGACTGTCTTGGTCTCCTCTCCGATCCTCTTTTCTCCCCTCTTCCTTCTCTCTTTTCCTTCCTTCCTTCTCTCCCTCTTTCTTTTCCTTTCGTCTATCCATCCACCCAACAATTATTTATTGAGTACCTATTGCATACTAAGCACCAATGCTAGGCTCTAAGGATATAGAAATAAAGAAGACCAAAGTACATAGGTATGATATAGTGATTGGAGAAAAGGGGTGGTTTATATAGGGTACTCAGGGAAGGCTTCTTTAAGGAGGTAGCATTTGAGAAGAGATTTGAATGAAATGAGGGACTGAGTTGTTAGAAAACTGGAGAAATAATGTTTCTCTGCTTTAGAGGTATGCCAAGTTTAAAATTTTTATTTACTTACTGTGAAAGATAATATATACATCAAGATATGCACAAAACAAAACAATTTTTCTGCTCTTGGTTAACTCTGTCTTTCAGGAGAGCTCACGGCTCACCCCTCAGGTTTTCTGTTATTTAAAGAAAACAATAACTGTGCCTGACAATTCAATAAAAATCTTTATTTTATGCAGTATCTTACTGTTTTGCAGTAGAAAGATCTCCCAAGTATCTTTTGGAACTGGAAGTCTTGCTGGAATGATTTTTAATATTATTAATCAGATTATGTCACTCCCGCGAATCAGAACCCACCAATGGCTTCCCATAACCTGCAGAATAAAATTACCGTGACCTTTGAGGCCCTGTGTGACCTGGTCATCTCCTCTCTCTCCAAACTTGTTTCTTTCCGCTCACCGCCTTTTTTGTTCCATTAGTATTCTGGTCCTCATGCTCAGTCATTCTAGCCTCAGGGCCTTTAGATTTATTTTTCACTCTGTAAAATTCAGCTCTTTAGAGAAACTAGCCATGCTTTAGGTGATCAACAGTCACGTGTAGCTTGTGGATACTACATTAATGCAGATACAGAACATTTCCACCATCAAATAAAGATCTATTTGAACTAGGATAGGTAGTTTATAGGAAACAGGAGAAAAAAATGGCTCTTAAGTTTTCTTCCTGAGCAACTGCATGAAAGGCAATGCCATTTTCTAGGAGATAGGAAAAACAGGGGAAACAGCAAGTTTGGAAGGAAAATACATTTCAATTTTGCAGCAAGAGAAATGTTGAGAAGAAGTTTGGAAGAAAAATATAGTTCAATTTTGCACCAGGAGAAATGCTGAGTAGGCAGAGCTCAGGAAAAAGTGGGAACTAGAGATACAAATTTGAAACACATAACTAAAGAGACAGTATTTTTTAAGTCATAGAATTAGATCTGATTGCAAATGGTACAACCCCTTTGGAAGGCCTTTTGACAATGACTATCAAAATTACAGTCATTTATACTTTGACTCACTTCAGAAAATTTATCCAACATATATGAAATAATATATGTACAAGGTTATTCATTGCAGCATTGCTCATAACAACAAAGGACTGAAAACACCATGTATGAGTAATTGGCTAAATAAATTATAGTACATCCACATACTGGAATAGAGATGTACACAGAATAAGGAAGCTCTCCATATACCAAATTGAAAAGATTTCTAGGATAACTGTTAAATGAGAAGAGCAAAATTAAGGAGGCAGACCAGTGTTTATAGGATGTTACCTTTGGGGCAAGAAAGGGAATAATACGAATAAACATTTGGATTTGCTTGTATGTGTGTAAAAACTACGAGGAGAATACACAAGAAGCTAATAGTAGTGGTTATGGTTAGGAAGCAGGGTGGAAAGGGGTGAAATGTAGTAAATGGTACAGGAGTAGAAGCAAGACTTCCCCATGTATATCTTTTTATGTTATTTTGATTTTTGAACCATATTAATATGTTATCTAGCTAAAACAATTCTGCTAAAAATTTATAAAGGAAAAAGTAATCAGCTACATTAAATGTTGCTGAAGGGATCAATAAGATAGACTAAAATTAAGCACTGGACTTGGCAAGATGTGAGTGACTTTAACCAGAGAGGTTTCAAAGGACAGAGATAGAAAAGCCTGTTTGGAGTAGACTTAAGGAACTAGAGATGAGGAGTACAGACAACTTTTTCAGTAGCGGGGGCAGAGAAACAGGGAAGTAGATGAAGGGATTCCTGGAGTCTAGCAGGGTTTTTTGTTTTTTTTTTTTTTAAAGATGGGCTATATTATATCTGTAACCTAACTGAAGTGGTCAGGTACAGAATAAGACACTGATGCAAGAAGCAGAGAGGTAAAATCAGGATCAAAGCCCTGAGTAGACCACAGAGATGGATTTAATACACAAATTGATGTGTGAGTCCTTAGATAAAAGTAGGGACAGTTCATTTGTTAAAATAAAATGTACGGTAGAATATGAAGTTACAAATCACGTTGCCTTTCCCTCAACAAATACATACATACACTAACTTAACTGGCTTTCCACCACGCATGATTTAATGCCAAAATTGTTACAATGGTCCGTAAGATCCTTTACATCCCAGGCAGTGCCTACGTTCTCTGACTTGTATAACATCACTGTCCCCTTGCTCACTCCTTTCCAGTTACATAGCCTTTTTTCGATTCTTTAAACACGACAAGTTATTACTTGCTTCAAGGACTTCACACATGTTGCCTGGAATTCTTCTCCCTTACTGTTGTCTCCTTATTATCTCTTAACAGATCTAATATCATTGTATTTATAGTACCCTGTTCTTTTCCTCCGATGCATTTACCATGATTTTTATGTATATTATTTGTGGGTTCACTTTGTAGTATCTCCAGAAAGTTAGAAACTGTGTCTATTATATCCAGTGTCTATTATTTCCATTGCTTGGCACACTGAGTGCTCAATAAATATTTTTTAAATTGTAGTAGAAAACACCTAACATTAAATTTACTAATTTAACCATTGTTAAGCATACAGTTCAGTACTCAATATTTTTTGAATTTGAGTAAGTGGAATGAGCAATCCAACCAGCTGCCCCAAAGCTAGAAACTTCTGAATCATCCTTGACTCTTATTCTTCTTTTTTCCTCCCTCAGACCCTATTCTGTAGTCTTCTCTCTTCTAACTAAACAATTTTGTTTACTCTTTCTTCACTGCATTGCTCAATGGCTCAGAACCTCATGATTTCTGGCCTGGGATATTATAAATGTTACTCATCTATATCCTTGTCTTCATTTTCTTCAGTTTCTATCTGTCACATACTGTCTTCAAAGTTTTCATTCTATTGAAATCTGATCATGTGTTTTTCCTTTATCAAATAGTATCCACTGGTATACAAGGTTGATCCTGGAAACCAACAGAGTGAGCTCCAGTTCTGTTTTACAACTGTGGACCCAAGATCTATCAAAGGAAGTCACTGGGGCCCCAGGTTAAAATGCCAAAAGTATCAGTAACAGCAGAAGCTGAAGACAGGGAAGGCAACAGAAATAAGGCAAAGAAGATAGGAATGTTAAGACAAGCTCCTCTGGAAGTGCTATGCATTATTATAGGAGGGCTCTGTTGCTCAGGATATTCTCTGCTTCTGCAGCGATGATGATGATGATGATGATGATGATGATGATGATGATGATAGAATTTACATACAGTAAAATGCATCCATTCAGTGTGCAGTTATGCAAGTTTTGACAAATGCATACACTTGTATAACCTCCACCACACTGGATACAGCACTATTCTTTTACTTCCCAAAACTCCTCTGTACCCCTCCCTACCCCTGGGCAACCACTAGTTATCTGTTCCTATAATTCTGCCTTTTCTGGAATGCCATGTAAGTAGAATGATACCAAATGTAGCCTTCTGAATAATGCATTTGAGATTCATCCGTACAGTTTTCAAATACATAGCTGTATCAGGTACTGCAGCCCTGCCTGCCTGCCTGCTTGCCTGCAGCATTCTCTCTCTCTCTCTCTCTCTCTCTCTCTTTCTTTCTGTTTTTGCTAGGGTCTTGCTGTCAGCCAGACTACAGTGCAGTGGGGCAATCATAGCTTACTGTAACCTCTAACTCCTGGGTTCAAGCAATCCTCCCACCTTAACCTCCTGGGTAGCTAGGACCACAGGCACCATGCCCACCATGCCCAGCTAATTTACTACAATCTTTTAATAGTGCCATTCAGTACCTGGTTTCAATAGAATGCTACTATTCCTACTGTCTACACAATAAAGTCCAAATTTCTTAGCAATCATATATAAAATATTCACAACTTGATTCCATTTTTATGTCCAGGTACTCCACTCACCTACTGCACCCACAATCACACTAGTAGTGCTCATGGTCTCTTGAACTGGGCACTTTCATACTTCAATGCATTTGCCCACCTGTTCCTGTTGAAATGCCCTTCCCCTTCTTTCTTTGCTCATGTAGTGAACTCCAATTATCCTTTGATCACTCAGATCAATTGTCATCTCTGCTGCCCCACTCACTACACACATACACATTCACTCTCTCTCTCTCTCTCCCTCTTCCTATTCCTATTTCTAACCTCTAATGAGGAGTGCATTCAGAAGAAGAGATAGCAGAGGTGTAAGTAATGCTCATTAATGCTCTTATGGCACACTAGCTTATCTCTATTATAGCCCTAATTATAATGTACCATACTTTTTGTTTATGTGCCTACCATATTGGGTAGTTTTTGGGCTTGCTAAAGACAAAGGCTTTGTCTTAGTCATGTCCCTCTCAACTCCTAGTTTGCAGGACAGTTCCTTACACATAGTAGGGGCTACATAAATATTGAATGCATGAAGCAGCACATGAGGTCAGGCATGTCCCAGATGTCTTTGTGTTGTTGCTGTTTTTTTTTTTTTTTTGAGACGGAGTCTCGCTCTGTCACCCAGGCTGGAGTGCAGCGGCACAATTTTGGCTCACTGCAACTTCTGCCTCCCATGTTCAAGTGATTCTCCTGCCTCAGTCTCCCTACTAGCTGGGATTATAGGTGTGCACCATCACACTCAGCTAATTTTTTGTATTTGTAGTGGAGACAGGGCTTCACCATGTTGGCCAGGCTGGTCTCGAACTCCTGAGCTCAAGTGATCTGCCTGTCTTGGCCTTCCAAGGAGCTGGGGTTATAGGCGTGAGTCACCATGCCCAGCCTTAATACATCTTAAGTGTTTAGAGGATACTACCTCGCCACCTATACCCACCTCCAAACCTGAAAGCCACATTTCTTGGATGAGGAAAACTTATATAGTGATCAATATTTTTCTGCTTCATTCATTTTTGAATTAGTTTATTTCTCACCTAAACAAAATCAGTTAACATTATCATTAATAAACATTTCTTAGGAATATATTTCCCCTTGTCTTGGCAAATTCTAAAGTAATCTTATTTTAGTAAGATAAATAATTTATTTTTACTTGATGTTCAAAGCAGTGTTAAGAGTAGTAATGAGCACTACTGAACTGGTGTAGCATTCCACCTGACTGGTGTTACTAACCCACTGCCAAATGAGATTAACTCTTGAAGAGATTTCAGATTCTACTTTACAGCACTTTAACATCTCACACCGTTTAAAAAAAAGTTATGAGAACGATCGCGCATGAGAGTATTTTTTATAATAAAAATACTCAGGTTACTAATGATATATGATAGAAAGTTTACTTATGACACAAAGAAAATGTTGTTTTGAACTATATAATATGTGTATGTATACTCAACTTTTTAAAAAGCATTTGGCAAGCCATATATTGTTCATTTATCTTTGCCTTCTTCTTGACATTTTAGGAATTAGGGTAACACTACTTGGATGCCTCCTTCAGAGTAAGTAAAAGCTTAATTTCAAATTCAGATAAAAATAATATTTCTTTTGAAAAATATCTTTTGGAAATGTTCATTACTATCTTTTTATTGCTAATGTTTATCAAAGTGAAGGCTGTTGCTCATAGAAATAATGAAGTACACATATGTTTGAGTTCATATTTTTGAAATTAAAAGGAATACTAGTAATTACTTTGGTTTATGTGTACTCTGAAGTCTCATGCTTCAAATATAATTAATATGGAATTGGTAATGATTTGGATGTGATATATTAAATTGTATTAAGTAAATATTTTGGAGTAATTTTTTCTTTCCAAAAAATTAGAGGAGCTCTATTGGAAACACTATTGAGGGTGGGAGGGAGCAAATAAATAATTTTTATACTAAAATATTTTTAGTCAATTATAAATTTGTGAGAATAGCATGGGCTGCAATGAGGATAACATCTGCTGTATAAGGTAAAGTTTTGCTACGTAGAATTAAAAGTATTAGCAAGTTTTAAAGAAATATATAATAAGAATAACACATGATCAAATTTTTTCACATCTGTATGAAAATCATAAGTGCACATTACATATATATTTAGTTCATTAAAGTCAAGCCAAATGACAACCTCTACTTAATAACTGAAGCTGTGAAAACATTAAAGAATAAATTGTTTTTTGATTAAAATAAAAAAGAAAACCTGTTATTTATGCTAATCAATTAAATGAACCTTTTCTGTTTTGCTTCCTTGTGAAGATTTACCACAAGAAGTTATATGTGAATGGTCTTCACAAAAAACTAAAAACCAAAAAACACCCACCTAGCTACAGTATAATCTAAAAAGGCATTTAAGAAGAGTTACACAGAAAAACACTAAACAATTTCGTTTCAATAACACGTGGTGGTGGTGGAAAAATAGCTTCAGTATCTTTATCCAAATGGTTACGTCACACTATTAATCTCTAAGAATTTGGAAATTGTGATGTAAATGCAGATAAACAATTATGATGTAAATGCGCATAAAAAATTCTCTTGAATTCACAAGGCATTTTAGGTATAAGAATGGTCCCAAACTGGAATTTAGCACTAGAAACATATTTTACTATACAGTAATACTACAAAACTTACCAGTTAAAGTCACATACTTTATAAGTTTACATTCCCAAAGAATTATTAATTTAGTCACAATGTATTTTCAATTACTGGCTTTGCTTTTCAATAAGATCATTATTAGAGAGGTTTATCCAGCTTTAAAAGTCTTCTTTCTGCAGCACTCTGCTGAATGCTAATTATTGGAAGTTTAAAAAAAAAATTAAAAGTTTCCTAAGCCATAAACTTAAAACCTAGTGAAACGGCCTCGCTATATGCAAGTCTGCGAAGAGGATGCTAACACACCTTTAATGATAATAGCGCTAATGGAGCCAATATATAATATATATATTAATCCTTAGATTACAACTTTTAATCTAGGTATTGAAGCGTTTACATGTCCCACAGTAGTCTGACTCTCTGTATATAAGCCAGTTAAAGAATATCTATTAACAATAAAAGTATGTCCAAAACTCTTGCTTAAATGTCATGGATACAGACAGTAAAAGGAATATTAAGGTATTTTACAATATCCAGTTGCTCCATTAACTCAATTGTGCTATGATTGCTTTTGAGACTCTTCTCCAAGTTCAAACACGAAAGGCTTGCTCTTCAAGCCTTTCAAGTTGGGACTTATATCAAAAAACAGTGCCAAACAAAAAGTTTAAGTAAAACATAAAGCCCTCATAGAAATGATTACAGGAGTTCAAGTTGACTGTAATATCTTCTTTGTCAACATGTCAAGTAGTAAAACTAAAACTTTTCAGTGAATTTACAGTTTATATTCTGTTATAATTTCTTCTTGAGTCATAGGTTACTTGAAATATATATTAATTTTAAATATAGAGACTTTTTTTTTTTTTTTTGTCGCCCAGGCTGGAGTGCAATGGCGTGAT
Organism: Homo sapiens; assembly: GCF_000001405.40. Classification (NCBI taxonomy): domain Eukaryota; kingdom Metazoa; phylum Chordata; class Mammalia; order Primates; family Hominidae; genus Homo; species Homo sapiens. The sequence continues at coordinate 62,891,128 of NC_000002.12, read as the reverse complement.
CTCAGCTCACTGCAACCTCCGCCTCCCGGGTCAAGTGATTCTCCTGCCTCAGCCTCCCGAGTAGCTGGGATTACAGGTGCGTGCCTCCATGCCCAGCAAATTTTTGTATTTTTAGTAAAGACGGGGTTTCACCATGTTGGCCAGGCTGGTGTCAGACTCCTGATCTTGTGATCTACCTGCCTCAGCCTCCCAAAGTGCTGGATTACAGGCGTGAGCCGCCGTGCCCAGCCCAGGCTTCTTATAATTACTGTTTTGTTATTGACTTATAGATTAATTACACTATAGGCAGACAACATAAATTCAACCTCTGAAATTTGTTGAAAACATGCTTTAGTTTGACTTCCTCTCTTCCTATTTGGATGCTCCTTATTTCTTTCTCTTGCCTGACTGCCCTGACTAGGACTTCAAATACTATGTGAGAGAGAGGAAGTTATACTATCCCTGTATGCAGACGACATAATCCAATATCTAGAGAACACCGCAGTCTTGGCCCAAAAGTTTCTTTAGCTAATAAATAACTTCAGCTAAATCTCAGGATACAAAATCAATGTGCAAAAATCACTAGCATTCCTACACACCAAAAACAGTCGAGCTGACAGCCAAATCAAGAACCAACTCCCATTCACAATCACTACAAAAAGAATAAAATACCTAAAAATAAGCTAACTAGGGAAGTGAAAGATACCTACAAGGAGAAATACAAAACATTGCTCAAAGAAATCAGAGATGATACAAACAAATGGAAAAACATTCCATGCTCATGGGTTGGAAGAATCAATATTGTTAAAATGGCCATATTGCCCAAAGCAATTTATAGATAAAATGCTGTTCCCATCAAACTACCAATGACATTCTTCACAGAACTAGAAAAAACTATTTTAAATTTCATATGGGGCTAGGCGTGGTGGCTCATGCTTGTAATTCCAGCACTTTGGGAGGCCGAGGTGGGCAGATCACAAGGTCTGGAGATCGAGACCCAGTCTCTACTAAAAATACAAAAATTAGCTGGGTGTGGTGGCATGTGCCTGTAGTCCCAGCTACTCGGGAGGCTGAGGCAGGAGAATCACTTGAACCCAGAGGCGGAGGTTGCAGTGAGCCAAAACTGTGCCACTGCACTCCAGCCTGGGTGACACAGTAAGACTCCATCTCAAAAAAAAAAAAAAAAAAAATTCATATGGAATAAAAAAAGAGCCTATCCTGAATAGCGAAGGCAATCCTAAGCAAAAAGAACAAAGCTAGAGGCATCATACTACCCAACTTCAAACTATACTACAGGGCTACAGTAACCAAAACAGCATGGTACTGGTACAAAAATGGACATAAAAAAAACAGACAAAATAGACACAGAATAGATACAAAAACAAGTACAAAAATAGACCAATGGAACAAAAATAGAGGACCCAGAAATGAGGCCACATCCTTACAACTATCTGATCTTTGACAAAGCTGACAAAAATAAGCAATGGAGAAAGGATTCCCTATTCAATAAATGGTGCTGTGATAACTGGCTAGCCATATGCAGAAAATGGAAACTAGGTCCCTTCTTTATACCACATAAAAATTAACTCAAGATAGATTAAAGACTTAAATGTAAAACCCAAAACTACAAAAGCCCTGGAAAAGAACCTAGGCAATAGCATTCAGGAAATAGGCATGGACCAAGATTTCAAGATGAAGACACCAAAAGTAATTGCAACAAAAGCAAACATTGACAAATGGGATTTAATTAAACTGAAGAGCTTCTGCACAGCAAAAGAAACTATCAATAGAGTAAACAGACAACTTACAGAATGGGAGAAAATTTTTGCAAACTATACATCTGACAAAGGTCTAATATCCAGCATCTATAAGGAATTTAAACAAATTTACAAAAAAAAAACACACACACACAAAAACACCAAACAACCCCATTAAAAAGTGGGCAAAGCGGCTACTAACTAGGGAGGCTGAGGCAGGAGAATTGCTTGAACCTGGGAAGCAGAGGTTGCAGTGAGCTGAGATTGCCCCACTGCACTCCAGCTTGGGCAACAGAGTGAGACTCTGCCTCAAAAAAAAAAAAAAAAAAAAAAAAAAAAAAAAAAGAGGTACCTACTGCCAAAATTTATGAAGACACTCTTCGGTTTGTTTAAGTGCCAAGTTTGTACTTGCATGCCTCCAGGAGTTAGTGGCTCCTTAAATTTTGCACCATAATTGTCTCTCTTGCCTCACCACAGTCCTAACTCCACTGTGCATTTTTTGTTTGTTTTTCCTAAAGTGAAGTTTATCAGTACAGACAGTTTGGAAGACTTCTGTCATAGTTTGTGTGAATCTATTCAAATACTCCAGATAAAATCCCCTTCCTTTTTCATGTAGTAAAGGTGAGCTAACCAGTGCTTCCTTCACATTTATCATCAGTAATATGCCCTAAAGTAGCCCTGCCAATATACAGCAATAGCACTCCATTTGCCATTTGTTACTAACTGCTCAGTCTTTATAAAGCATTTGGCAAATAAGCCAAATTTGTGAGCCATTCTTTATTGTTAAAGTACACAAATAAGTTATTTACTTTATTCAGGTTGTTTTCCCATGTGGAGGCATTTTTGTCTTCATAAAGAAAAATGGTAATTCAATTCTCAGAAAACTGTGACAGGCACTTTAATTCAGTTACTTCACGATATACTGATATAAATGAGCAAACTTTCTAAATCAAACTTTACAAATTTTGTTTTAAAAGGCAAGCATTCTAATCAGGGTTAAAAAGAAAAATTTAGCATTTTTATCTTTCCCATTGAACACAGTGAGAAAAATCAAGAGGCAAACTTTTAGGGGTATTCTTGATGCTAGCGTTACTGGTTCTTTGAGTTTACAAGGGCCTGTAAGTGAGTTACTGCTGCTGCACATTTCTCTGTCAGATTTGCCCCATCTGTGCACCATGGCTGGGACTAGTGTGAGTCAAGGGGATGCACAGAGTGCAAGATTTCAGGAGCCATTCACTTTTAGGGTGGTGCAGATGCAGAGCTCACACTTGTTCCAACCTAAGACAATGTGCCTCCTTAAATTTTGTGTCTTATAAATTTCTCTTGCCTCACCCTAGTCCAGGCCATGAAGTGCACACATCCAAATATGTTTTAGAAATGATACCATATGTGCTATAGGAGGGAAAAAAGGAATGTTTTTCAACTTCCTCACCAGTAATTCTATGTTCTGAAAATTAACATGTCTTTCCAGACATCATAATATGAATGTAGAGCAATGACCTTGAAGAAAAAAACTATTCAACTTCGACAGCCTGGGTTTTTTTGTGTTTTTGCATTGTAATGTACCTAAACTTCTTTATGGTCAATTGTAAAATATTCTGATCTTCCCTCAAAATTTGCTATCATCTATCTAGCTAGCTAGCTAGGTATCAATCTATCAATTATTTGATGGGATCTTGCTGCATCTCTAAGGCCGGAGTGCAGTGGCTCACCACGACCTCCGCTCCTGGGCTCAAGCAATCCTCCCACCTTAGTCTCCTGAGTAGCTGGGACTACAGGTGTGTGGCACCCAGACTGGCTATTTTTTTTTTTTTTTTTTGTGGAGACCTATCTCACTATATTGCCCAGGCTGGTCTTGAACTCCTGGGCTCAAGCGAATCTCCCACCTCAGCCTCTTAGAGTGCTGGGATCACAGGAATGAGCCACCGTGCTTGGCTTAATTGGTTTAAATGTTATTTTAAAAAGACTCTTGCAAGTAATCAGGTTTTCTCATAAGAGAGACACCAAGATTTAGGCTCATTTACATTTACATTCACATTTTAAATAAGTATTAGGGCACAGCCTGCTAACTGACCCCTAATATCCATTCTACCCTTCTTTAGTAATAGAACTCTTGATTTTCAGCTGTAACACAACTGCCCAGAAAAATGATACATTTTCTAGCCTCCCTAGGTGGAGGTTGGCGTGGCTATTTTTGTCCCTTCCTTCTTGTTGACTAGAATGGGGACAATGTTGGGCCATGAAGTATAAGCCTAGGCTGAAAATGGTAGAATAGTAATCTATTATAGATCTATTATAGATTACTATTATATTACTATAATAGGATCCCTGATGACTGTGAGACTACTGTATCAGCACTGGACCTTCAATATTTTTAAAGACAGAAATAAATTTATCTTTTAATCTAAGCTGACATGTGAGGCTTTCTATTGCCCACAGAAAATCCTAATTCCAACTAAAATTCCATTAAACAGAGACTCATTTTATTAAAAATATTTTTTAAATTAACAATTGTGATAGGGTCAACATATATATATTTTAAAAAGGTAGTTGAGTCAGTGTAATTTGTTCTTAGCCATTAGCTAAAGTCAGACACACTGAAGGAAGGGTAGCTTTGTACAGGGGAGGTAGGAAATTCCAGAACATAAACTGTTTTGCCTAACTAAATCATCATTAAAAAGGTAAAAGCAGATTGAAGGTATTCCAGAGAGAGAAGCAGATACACTGAGGCTGATTCCCAGTTGTTCCTGAAGCCAAGCTTGTATTCTTTGCCTAGGGTTTGGCAAAATATCTTTAAGTCTTTGTAACTTTATCCTTTCTGTTTAAGCAAGAAAATTCAAATACATGTCTTGTTTCTATTACTCATTACAAAAAAAAAATACTAACCAATAGAACAGCTAATATATATAGGAGCATACCATTTATTCAGTAGTATTGAGGAACAGGGTATGACAGTAAGTAAAAAATTTACAGGTAAAGTAAGATTACCTTTTGTATTTCCTAGCTGTCATTGAACCTTGGCATTTTAAATTTTCTTTTAAAAACTGTGTGTTTATTATTTTACTAAATTACATTTGATTCTCATCCTTTTTATAATTTTCCTTGAAAGGTTTGACATTTTCAATTTACATATGATAGGAAATTAACACATTGATTGTGTGTTTACTGTTTTTCAGCAGGAATGGCCCTGAGACACCATTCTGCACAGTTTTACACAGACAGAAATTGAGGTAAAGAACTTTCTGGAAGGAAGCCATTATATAAGGTGAAAAGCTGAAAAGGGTGCTTGCTTTGTGGTTTGAATTTGCTCCTAGGAGCAATAAGTAAGACTGCTGTGAGTTACTTTGAGTTTACCCTGAGCTTTCCACAGTTTCTGTAGTCTACTCAAGTCTGAAAACATCCAAGTGAAAACCCTCAGTCTTGCTTAGAACTTTCTAGAAAGAAGCAACAATATGAGTGAAGACTTCAGTTATTTAGCTGAGCCATAAGATACAGATAGGGTTTCCATTTTCAGAGAGGGAGTAAGTAGACAGTAGCATTGCTGTCAATCACTGGAGCTCTGCCAATCAAGATCTTTGAGGGGGCCCTTCTCTACTTGACCAGACTCATTTCATCATGGAATGTACGGTGGGGCTCTTTTCTATGCAATCAGAGAACTGTAAGTTTAATTTATTTTAATTTTTTATTGTCAGTAATTGGCTGTTTATATTATGATTTTTATGGAACTAGGTCATATAGTATTTAATAACATACTTTAGCAGATGTATCTGGGAACAATTTCATTTATATTCCTGAATTTTTTCTAATAACTTAAATTGCATGTTGTATTAAGTGCATGAATTTTATCTAGTAGTTTGCATATTCATTAATTTATATTCATAGTCAGTAAAAGGTGGTCAGCCATCATTGGAACTAACTTATTTTACTGGATGGTTACATGTTTAATGTCAGTTTACTTCTCTAAACATTGATCTTTTTTCTTAAGCTGTTTTTTTAAAAATATTGTGGTTTTCTTATTTTACAAACATGGAAATCAATGGTCTGAAGTGTAGAGTTTATGTGGATTTATGATACTGAGGGGCTCACAGCTGCCTGTGGGGCAGTTTGAATTTTATTTTGCAACATAAGTATACATTTATTATCACTTTGTTTAAATTCTAGTCTTGGTGCTTTTTCATGAATTTTCTTAAAAATAAGTTTCAGGCAATAGGTGGAGAAATCAATCATCTGGCTGAGTTGTCATTTTATGACAGTGAACACTTTGCCACCTCCGCAGTCAGTTGTCATTGAGTGTAGTTCAGCATTTTGATATACAAATAATTGTTGTGTAATTTTTTATTATTCAACTATAATTTGAGCCGTTTTTTATCCAAAAGGTTTAATTAAATTATTTTGTCCTTTTCAATTTACAAATAATAAAACCAATTGGCCCAGATGCTGATCTTTTTAAGCATCAAAAACTCTTTAATAATTTTAACAGAAATGTTTTGATGTAAAACACATTTTCCTGCTTCCTTAAATAGAATATCGTATACTAAATGTAGTAAGACCCTTTCATATCAAAATGTCAATTATTTTACCAAGCTTTGATGCTGCAAAGTCTTCAGGAACTACTTAGATATACAGGCATATTCCTGTGATGAGTAAGTCCTGTACTACTTTCCAACTGCATTCTTGGCTTCCATTTATCATTTTTTAATTATTGTCAGCATATCACTGATGATAATCTACTGCCTTATCTCACACATAATTGTGTAGTTGGTGATTTCCTTCCTTTTGGTTTGGCAATAGTCTACATTTTTTCAAATGAAATCTTAAATGAACTCAAATATATAAAATGAATGAGCATGGATTTGCACAGTAGAAATGGAAAAGGGGGTCCGGAGCCTTCCTGCCAAGCGTCCATACCTGGTCCCCAGTGCAGAACACTAAGCCACCTGATAAAACCCCACGGGGCCCACACAATTTGATAACACTGGTCAAGCCTAAGAGTGACTTCCTCTGAGGGTAAATTTTAAGAAAATGTTATCTTGTACATATCATATACAGAAGGCAACAAAAAACAGATAAGTGATCTCATTACTCACCTCTATTAGCATAACAAACAAAAACAAAAGTACATGTATAAGGTTTGAAAATTCAAACAATATAGGAAGTTAAAACATGAAAAGAAATGCCTTCCTCAATGTTCGGCATACCTCCATCTTACCAAGACCTTTCTTCTCAGATGTAATCACTATTACTTGTGATTCCTTTGGAAATGTATGTGACCATATGTCTATGTGCATAGGCATATACATGTGAATAACATTTTTTATACACACAGAAATGAATAACATTTTTAATACACACTATATTCTGTTATGCACTTTTTTTACTTAATAATGTATCAGCAGTCTATTATTAATATTTTTTGTTATTAGGTGACAGTGTTTCACTCTGCCATACCGGCTGGAGTGCAGTGACGCATCACGGCTCACTTCAGCCTCTACCTCCCAGGCTCAAGTGATCCTCCCACCTTAACCTCCCAAGTAACTGGGAATACAGGCGTGAGCCATGATGCGCAGCTAACGTTTTTATTTTAATTTTTTTGTAGAGACAGGGTCTCACTATATTGCCCAAGCTGGTCTCTAATTCCTAGGCTCAAGCAATCCTCCTGCCTCGGCCTCCCAAACTGCTGGTATGACAGGCATCAGCCACTGTGCCTGGCTAGCAGTCTATTAATACTATTATTTTAAGAGATGGGATCTCAATCTCTGGGCTCAAGCAATCTTCCAGCCTCAATATGAGTAGCTGGGACTATAGACGGCTAGTCTTTTTTAGCATTAATTTTTCAGTTGGGTTTCACCAGGTATCTTATCCAAACTACCAGGTGTCTTATCCAAACTAACTTCCAGATCAGCAAAAGGTTACTGTGGATATGACTGTGTCTCTAATGTCTATGTCTGAGCATAATGAGGCATTTTCCAAGAGAAGCATGGTGCTAAACTTCTCAGTCTTTCCCATAAACATCATTTATTCCACAATGTATCTGCAATGAAACATTACCTTCAAAATAATGTAAAAATAGCTATTCACATAGCTATCACATACTTTCAAGCTACAAGAAAACTTAATCACCATATAAGTTCTATGGAAAAACGTATTTAGAGTTCCAACCTGGAACCAGAAATACCTCTCTCTAGAGATAGCATGACACAGTGAGAAAAGCATGGGTTTTGCACACAATGAACCTGAATTTTAATCCTGGCAGTGTCACTACTTGCTTTATCATTTTTAGCAAATTACTTATCCAAGGTTCAGTTTCTCATATGTAAAACAGAGATAATGGTATAGACAGTACATATATATGTGTGTGTGTATGTATATGTGTGTGTGTATATGTATAGTGTGTGTGTGCATCTGTGTGTGTGTATCCTCAGTTGCTCTATGGATCAAGTGAGGTAACAAAATATTGCCCGGCATACAGTAGGCACTGTTAAGTTTGTTTCCTTTCTTTTTTTTTTTTTTGAGAGGGAGTTTCACTCTTGTTGCCCAGGCTGGAGTGCAATGGCGCCATCTCGGCTCACTGCAAACTCTGCCTCCTGGGTTCAAGCAATTCTCCTGTCTCAGCCTCCTGAGTAGCTGGGATTACAGGCATGCGCCACCACACCTGGCTAATTTTGTATTTTTAGTAGAGACGAGGTTTCTCCATGTTGGTCAGGCTGGTCTCAAACTCCTGACCTCAGGTGATCTGCCTGCCTCGGCCTCCCAAAGTGCTGGGATTACAGGCGTGAGCCACCGCACCCGGCCCATTTCCTTTCCTCTACAGAGAAATTAGGAATTCTTAATTAGCTCCAAACTCCTGATGGAATAAAGAGGAATGGTATAGGAAGTAGGCAATGAGGGACTAGAGAATCAGAGAAACAAGTGATAGGTTTAGGTATTCTTTATGGTCAGAATGGATAAGGGACCTAAAGTTTCTTGATTCTGGCTAGTGTCCCAGTCACTGTTTATTTTTACTCTTATGGATATTGGAATTGGCCATCTCCTTTTGCCTTATATTTCTACCATCTGCTCTTTCCATTTAGCATTTTTCCCTCTTTCTCTAGCACAACCCAGCAAGACAGAATTTAAGTCATTGGGGGAAAAAAACACGTGATATAAAAACAAACACTTGGAGATTGACTTATGGAATGGCTGAATGAGGAACTCAGTGAACAAACTCTCCCTCTAAAACAATAAAAATACAGGCAAACAAATAAAATGAACTATTTCAGAAGTCTGGCATTTAACAAAAGCCACAGAATGAAATTAAAACTTGTCTACTCAAAAGAAACTACTGAACTTCAATGTCCTTGAGAAAAATAGAAGCCCAGGTACCCGAGTAGAGTATGGTTCCAAAATCATACAATTAATGAAAATGCTAGGTTCCAATCCTTTCTCTACTGGCAGGAGGTGGGGGACTTGTAATCTTTCCTTTATCCCTCTGAGATCAAGTTAATCTCATTTTTAACATTACCAGCTATGAGAATTAAATAACCTAATATAGCGGTAAAAGCACACCCATGACTAGATAGGCAAAAGTTATTTACCTAAAAAAATTTGCTAAGACCAACACACAGAAGACACCATATTATTTACAATGGAATCGTTTAATAGCTTTAGGTTTTATTCCAAAGGTGTTTTACCTTTCCATGTAGTCATCACGTATTAAAATTTCTAAAAAAGAGTGACAAGCCAAAATTATACCTTGACATAAATCAAAGTGACAAAATTGAAATTCTCCAACAAAACATTTAACTGGACTGAGACTTAATCTTGCCAGTTCATTTGTCAAAGGATGATTTAGATTTCTTCCTTTATATTTGTATAAAGCTGTCTCTTATGCCTAGCTGCTTTAGAGTTTCCTTTCCTTCCTTTTTCCTTCCCCTTCCCCTTCTCCTTCCCCTTCCTTTCCCTTTCCTTTCCTTCTTTTTTTTTTTTTTTTTTTTTCCGTTTTTCCTTTCCAACTTGTATTACAGGTTCAGGACGTACATGTGTGGGTTTGTTACATGAGTAAATTGTGTGTCATGGGGGACTGGTGTATAGATTATTTCATCACCCAAGTAAAAAACACAGTATCCAGTAAGTAGATTTTTTTGATCCTCACCCTCCTCCCACCCTCCACCCACAAGTAGGCCCCAGTGTCTATTGTTCCCTTCTTTGTGTCCATGTGTACTTAATGTTTAGCTCCTACTTATAAGTGACAACATGCAGTATTTGGTTTTCCGTTCCTGAGTTAACTTGTTTAGGATAATGGCCTCCAGCTCCATCCATGTGCTGCAAAGAACATGATTTTGTTCTTTTTTATGGCTGCGTAGTATTCCATGGTGTATATATATATACCACATTTTCATTATTTGGTCTACTGCTGATGGGCAATGTAGGTTGATCAAGTGTGTTTTCTATTGTGAATAGTGCTGTGATAAACATACCTAGTATGTTTGGGTATATACTTGGTATATACCTAGTAATGGGATTGCTGGATGCAATGGTAGATCTGTTTTAAATTCTTTGGGAACAATCTCCAAACTGTTTTCCATAGTGGCTGAACTATTTTACATTCCCACCAGCAGTGTATAAGTATTCCCTTTTCTCTGCAACCTCACCAGCAACTGTTATTTTTTGACTTTTTAATGATAGCCATTCTGCCTGGTATGAGACAGTATCTCATTGTGGTTTTGATGTGCATCTCTCAAAAGATTACTGATGTTGAGCATTTTTTCTCATATACTCGATGGCCACATGTATGTATTCTTTTGAGAAGTGTCTTTTCATGTTCTTTGCTCATTGTTTAATGGGGTTGGTCGGTTGTTTTTTGCTTGTTAATTTAAGTTACCTATGGATTTTGGATATTAGACCTTTCTCAGATATGTAGTTGGAAAATATTTTCTCCAATTCTGTAGATTGTCTGTTTACTCTGGCAAGAGTTTTTGTTTTTTGTTTTTTGTTTCTTTCTTTTTTGCTGTGCAGAAGCTCTTAGTTTGATTAGGTCTCATTTATCAATTTTCTTTTTTTTTTTTTTCACAATTGCTACTGGAGTTTTTGTCATGAAATCTTCATCAGGGCCAATATCACATAATGGTATTTCCTAGGCTTTCTTCTAGGGTTATAATTTTATAGTTTTAGGTTTTACATTTAAGTCTTTAATGCATCTTGAGTTAATTTTTGTATGTGGTGAAAGGAAGGGGTCCAGTTTCAATCTTCTTTACATGGCTATCCAGTTAACCTGGCACCACTTGTTGAATAATGAATCCTTTCCCCATTGCTTGTTTTTGTCAACTTTCTCAAAGATCAGATGGTCGTAGTTGTGTGGCTTTATTTCTGAGTTCTCTTAACTGTTCCATTGGTCTGTGCGTCTACCAGTACCATGCTGTTTTGATTACTGTACCCTTCTAGTATAGTCTAAAGTCAGATAGTGTGATGCCTCAAGCTTTGTTCTCTTTGCTTAGGATTGCATTGGCTATCCAGGCTATTTGTTGTTGTTGTTGTTTTTCCATATGAATTTTGGAATAGTTTTTTTTTTCTAATTTTGTGAAAAATTCATTGGTAATTTTGATAGAAATAGCATTGAATCTGCAAATTGCTTTAGGCAATAAGGCCATTTTAATATTGATTTTTCCGATCCATGAGCATATAATGTTTTTCTACTTGTTTGTGTCATCTCTGATTTCTTTCAACAGTGTTTTGTAATTCTCATTATAGAGATCTTTCTCCTCCCCAGTTAGCTGTATTCATAGGCTCTCTCTCCCTCTCTCCCTCTCTCTCTCTCTCTGTCTCTGTGTGTGTGTGTGTGTGTGTGTGTGTGTGTGTGTGTGTGTGTGTTATTGTGAATAGGACTGTGTTCTTAATTTGGCTTTCAGCTTGAATGTTATATAGACTTGTAGTTGTATAGAAATGTTATGGATTTTTGTACAGAAATTTTGTATCCTGAAACCTTACTGAAGCTTTTTATTGGATCTAGGAGCTTTGGAGCAGCAACTATGAGGTTTTCTCAATACAAGATCATGTCATTTAGGAAAAGTGATTGACTTCTCTTCCTATTTGGATTGTTTCTATTTCTTTCTCTTGTGTGAATGCTCTGGCTAGGACTTCCAGTACTATGTTGAATAGGAGTGGTGACAGTGGGCATCCTTGTTTTGTTCTGGTCCTCAAGGGGAATACTTCCAGCTTTTGCCCATTCAGTATGGTGTTAACTGCAGAACTGTCATAGACGGCTCTTATTATTTTGAGGTATGTTCCTTTAATACCTAGTTTGTTAAGGGTTTTTAACATGAAGGGATGTTAAATTTTATTGATAGCTTTTTCTGCATTTACTCAGATAAACATGTAGTTTTTTGTTTTTTTTTTTTTTGAGACAGCGTCTCACACTGTCACCCAGGCTGGAGTGCAGTGGCACAATCTTGGGTGACTGCAACCTCCACCTTCTGGGTTCAAGTGATTCTCTTGCCTCAGCCTCCCAAGTAGCTGGGACTACAGGCGCCCACCACCACACCTGGCTAATTTTTGCATTTTTAGTAGAGACGGTGAAATTTCAATTTCTCCATTTTGGCCAGGCTTGTCTCAAACTCCTGACCTCAGGTGATCCACCCACCTCAGCCTCCCAAAGTGCTAGGATTACAGGTATGAGCCACTGTGCCCAGCCATAAACATGTAGTTTTTGTCTTTAGTTCTGTTTATGTGATGGATCACATTTACTGATTTACATATTTTGAACCAACCTTACATCCCAGGAATGAAACCTCCTTGATCATGGTGGGTTAGCATTTTGATGTGCTGCTGGGTTTAGTTTTCTAGTATTTTGTTAAAGATTTTTGCATCTACATTCATCAGAGGATACTGACCTGAAGTTTTCCTTTTTTGTTGTGTCTTTGCCAAGTTTTGGTATCAGAAGGATGTTGGTCTCACAGAATGCGTTAGAGAGGAGTCCCTCATCTTATTTTTTTTGGAAAGTTTCAGTAGGATTGGTTATCAGCTCTTCTTTATATGTCTGGTAGAATTCAGCCATGAATCTGTCTAGTCCAAGGCTTTTTCTGTTTGGTAGGCTTTTTATTACTGATTCAATTTCAGACCTTATTATTGGTCTGTTCAGGGTTTCAATTTCTTCCTGGTTCAGTCTTGGGAGGTTGTGTTTCCAGTAATTTACTCATATCTTGTAGGTTTTCTGTGCATAGAGGGATTTGTAATAGTCTCTGAATGTTTTTCCTATTTCTATGGGGTTGGTGGTAATGTCTCCTTTGTCATTTCTGGTATTTATTTGAATCTTCTCTTTTACTAGCCTAACGAGCAGTCTGTCAATCTTATTTATTCTTTCAAAAAACCAACTTTTGGGTTCATTAATTTTTTTGTACTGTTTTTCAAGCCTCGATTTCATAGACTTCAGCTCTGATTTTGGCTGAAGATTTGTCATCTTCTGCTAGCTTTCGGTTGGTTTGTTCTTGATTCCCTAGTTCCTCTAGGTGTGGTATAACGTTGTTAATTTGAGACCTTTCTAACTTTTTAATGTGGGCACTTGGTGTTACAAGCTGTCCTCTTAATACTGCTTTAGCTGTGTCCCAGAGATTCTGGTATGTTGTATTTTTGTTTTCATTTGTTTCAAAGAATTTCTTGATTTCTGCCTTATTTGTTTACCCAAAAGTCATTCAGGAGCAGGTTAATTTCCAACATGGTTTTGAGAGATGGTCTTAGTATTGATTTCTGTTTTTATTGTGCTGTGGTCTGAAGGTATAGTTAGTATGATTTCAGTTATATTGAATTTTTTGAGAATTGTGTTATGACTGAGCATGTGGTTGATTTTGGAGTATGTACCATGTGCAGATGAAAATAATGTACATTCTGTTGTTGGTCACAGTGTTCTGTAGATGTCTGTTAGGTCCATTTAGTCAAGTGACAAGTTTAGGTTCTGAATATCTTTATTAGTTTTCTGCCTGGATGATCTGTCTAATATTGTCAGTGGGGTGTTGAAGGCTCCAATTATTATTGCATAGTTATCTCTTTGTAGGTCCCTAAGAACTTGTTTTATGAATCTGGGTGCTCCAGTGTTGGGTGCATATTATTTAGGATAGCTAAGCCTTCTTATTGAATTGAACCCCTTACCATTATGTAATGCCCTTCTTTGTGTTTTCTGATCTTTGTTGGCTTAAAGTCTGTTTTGTCTAGCATTAGAATAGCAACCCCTCCTCTTTTTTGTTTTCTGTTTGCTTGGTAGATTTTTCTCTATCCCTTTACTTTGGGCCTATGGGTGTCAATGCATGTGAGATGGGTCTCTTGAAGACAGCATACAGTTGGGACTTCTTTATCCAACCTGCTCTTCTGTGCCTTTTAAGTGGGGCACACAATGGCAAGTTGGATAATTTACATTCAAGGTTAATATTGTCATATGTGGATTTGGTTCTATCATTGTGTTGTTAAGCTAATTGTTATATAGATTTGATTGTGTAGATGCTTTATAGTGTCCATGGTTGATATGGTTTGTCTCTGTATCTCCACCCAAATCTTATGTCGAATCGTAATTCCCAATGTTGGAGGAGGGACCTGGTGAGATGTGACTGGATCATGGGGCAGGTTTCCCCCTTGCTGTTCTTATGATACTGAGTGAGTTCTCATGAGATCTGGTTGTTTGAATTTGTGTATTCCTTCTGCTCCCACCATGTAAGATGTGCTGGCTTTCCCTTTGCCTTCTGCCATGATTTTAAGTTTCCCGAGGCCTCCCTAGCCATGTCTCCTATACAGCCTGCAGAACTGTGAGTCAATTTAACCTCCTTTTAAAATAAATTACCCAGTCTTGAGTAGTTCTTTATAGCAATGTGAGAACAGACTAATACAATGGTCTATGTATTTAACTGTGTTTTTGTGGTGGCCAATAATTATCTTTGGTTTCTATGTTTAGCACTCCCTTAAGGACCTCCTGTAAGGCAGGTCTGGTGATAACAAATTCCCTTAGCATTTGCTTTTCTGAAAAGAAATTTATTTCTTCTTATCTTACGAAGTTTAGTTTGGCTGGATACAAAAATTCTTGGTTGGAATTTCTTTTCTTTATGAATGCTGAATATAGGCTCCCAATCTCTTCTGGCTTGTAGGGTTTCTGTTGAAAGGTCTGTGGTTAGCCTGGTGGAGTTCCTGTAAAGGTGACATGCCCTTTCTCTCTGCCTTTACTATTTTTTCTTTCACTTTGATCTGGGAGAATCTGATGACCATATGACTTAGGGATGGTCATCTTATATGGAATCTCACAGGGGTTCTTTGAATTTCCTGCATTTGAATGTTGACCTCTCTAGCAAGGATGGGGAAATTTTCATGGACAATATCCTTGAATATGTTTTCCAAGTTGCTTGCTCTCTCTCCCTCTGTTTCAGGGATGCCAATGAGTAGTAGGTTTGGTTTCTTTATATAATCTCATATGTCTTAGGGGATTTGTTAGTTCATTCTTTTTTTTTCTGTATTTTTGTCTGACTGAGCTGTTTAGAAGAATTGGTCTCCAAGCTCTGAGATTCTTTCCTCAGCTTGGTCTATTCTGCTGTTAATACTTCCCATTGTATTATGAAATCCTTCTAGTGAGTTTTTCAGCTCTATCAGATAATTTTGGTTCTTTCATAAAATGACTATTTCATTTTTCAGCTCTTGTCTCATTTTACTGGATTCCTTGGATTACATTTCAACTTTCTCCTGAATCTTGATGATCTCTATGGCTATCCAGATTCTGAATTCTATGTCTGTCATTTTAGCCATTTTGGCCTGGTTAAGTATCATTGCTGGGGAGCCAGTGTGATTGTTTTGAGGTAAGAAGACACTGGGTTTTTGAGTTGCCATTGTTCTTGCACTGGCTTTTTCTCATCTGTGTGGGCTGATGTTCCTTTAATCTTTGAAGCTGCTGTCCTTTGGATGCAGTTTTTTACTTTTACATTATTTGATGCCATTGAAGGTTTGACTATGGTATAAGTTGTGTTCAGATGACTGGCTTTGTTTTTGGATTATTTCAGGGGGCCAAGGCTCTCTCAGCACTCGTGGGCTGCATGCTCTAACCCACAGGGCCTGGTACCAGACCCACGGCTTTGTTATCTGGGACCTCAAATTTAAGCACCTGCTGTGCTCGAGGGCCTGAGATGTTCCCAGTCTGCTGGCAAGATCACTCTGATGTGGGGTGCTGGCAAAAGCATTTCATCGGGGTGGCAGCAGTGAGGTTCATGCCCATACTGATGGGGCAGTGGGGACTGTGCATGTGCACTTGCACTGGTGGCGGCAATGAGGTGGGGTGCACATACACCAGCAGGGATGGGGCAGCAGTGCCTACATGCTGGCAGGGGCAGGGTGGCAGGGTCTGTGTGCATATGCTTACACCAGCAATGGCGGGGTGGCAGGGTGCACACATGTGTGCACTGGAGGGGGCAGGGTAGGGTCAGGGTGGTAGTCATGAGGTCTGTGCACAAGCCCATCAATGACAACAGGGTGGTGAGGTCTGTGTGCACATGCATGCCATCAAAGTGGTGTGGGGAGGCGGTGGGTGGGTGTCCATCAGCAGGGGCCTGTCTGCTGAAGCTCTCCTATAGTTATAGAGTATCCTTTCTTTAAAGCACCAATCTTACAATTATAAGACCTTTCTTCCTCTCATTTCAAAATAGCATTTTAAAAACAATCTTAACCCAAGCCATCCAATCCATACTGTACTGTAAACTTATGGGCTCACAAACATAAATGCAGTGTTGCAGTACAATAGATTGTCTTGGATATTATTTTTAAATCATCAAAAATAGCCAAAAATTACTTTTCTTAATTTAAATTAAATGGCACGGGGAGAAAACAGCAAATATTAATACATGTTTTACTATGAATAAAATCCTACCTTAGGAGAAGTAGAGAGATCTTTTCCTGCAGAAACTGTGTTTTCATTTAATACTCCTGTTTTTGGTGAGAGGACTGGTGGAGCCGGGGCCTTTCTTTTCACTCGCCTTTCAGTTTCTAGTTCTTGAACAGGATTTACCAAATTATTTGGAGGAGGAGTTGATTTAGGTTCATAAAAAGGATTTGATCTAAGTGAAAGAAGAATTATTGTTAGATGTCTCTCAAAAAATAGTTCATTTACAAGTAAAATAATAAAACATGCACTGAAAACTAAAATTTCTTTTTTCAAATAAAACCCAAACCAGTGATAACCTGGAATTTGGAAATAATGACTATTAATCTTTTGGTCCATTTCTATCCAGATTTATTTTTTAATTTGGTTTTAAAAAGTACTTAAAATATTTAATACAAGGTCACATTCAGCTCAAACTATTATATATAGAAGCTTAGAAAAATGTTAAATATTAACAATAGTAAATCGTGTATATTTTCCATATCCAAGGAAAAGGAAGTAAGATGTAAAAAATGTCAATTTGATTTCTTTTTTAAGCTCGAGCTCTGTTACGTTTTCTTGTATTTCATCTTTTCTTCTATGTTAAATTCTTCCCTCATTACGGAACATGTTTTAGCAGTTCATTCAGCAAGATTCTGCTTATAGTAAATTCTCCTAGGCTTTGAAAATGTCTTTATTTCAGCCTTACATTTAAGTGATAGTTTAGCTGGGTAGAGAATTCTAGTTGTCAGTTATTCTGTTTCAGGGTTTGAAGATATTAATCCACTGTCAGCCTAATATTGCTCCTTTGTAAGTCATCTTTTCTATGTAGTTGTTAAGATCTTCTCTTTATTTCTAGTTTGAGCAATTTTGACACCCATGACATGTCTAGGTGTGGATTTATTCTGTTTCAGACTCCTTGTATTTCCTGAGTCTGAAGAGTCATGTGTTTTATCGGTTCTGAAAAATTATCTGCCTTTATCTCTTTGATAGCCTCTTCTGTATTTTCTCTATTCTCTTTGAAATATCTTATTAGATATATGTTGAACAACTTCCTGTCAGGTTTCCTAGCCTTTCCATTTTTATAAATCTTTATTCTTCTTGTGCTATATTCTAGATAACTCTCTCACATCTCTGATCCAGTTCATTTTTTCTTTGTGTCTAATATTTAATTCTCCAGGAATTTTTAATTTTAATAAGTACATTTCTTCATATATCTGTGTGTATGGTACCTCAGTTACAAAGATTTGAGTTACTAATCATTTAAACATACTTATTTTATAGTCTCTATCTGTCAAATCTAGTATTTGAAGTTCTTGCATGTATAATCCTATTTCTTTTGTCTCCTGACTCTTTCTCTTAGTAAACTGTTTCCTTGTGTGTTTTGTAATTCTATATTGTGAGTTCAGGGTTTCACCTGAGGAATTCCTGTGTAGTCTAAGTTAAGAGTGCCTCTCTTCAGAGCGTTTAACACTTGCATTTGCCAAGTACTTTAGGACTAAGAAAATTAATATCTCCACACACTTGTAATTCACCTCTGAGACAACAGTGTGCTGGCACCACTACTGGTTAGGCACTAAATCAGAATAAGGACAAGAAGCCTCTACTTATAAAAGTTTTGAATGGTCCTTTTCCCTTCTAGATCAGAGATCCCTAACTTAAATTCAATTCCCTACTTTTCAAGAATGAACAGGAAATGTTTCCATTTAGGTGAAATGTCCAGAATAGTCAAATTCACAGAAACAGAAAGTAGATTAGTTGTAGCCAGAGAATGAAGGAAGTGGGGGAATTGGGACTAAATGTTAATAGGTATGAGGTTTCTTTTTGTGGTAATGAAAACATCCTGGTATTAGATAGTGGTAATGGTAGAACAATATAGTGAACATACTAAAAATCACTGACATGTAAATTTTAAAGTGTATAATTTCATGTTATGTGAAGCATATATCAATTTTTTTAAGTGCTATAAAAAATGAACAGGAATAGTGGCTGTACAGAGATAGTATTGTGTGAACACTTATCCCTTTCTCTACAATGACAAGTTACATACTTGCTGATTAATATA
Source organism: Homo sapiens (assembly GCF_000001405.40). Taxonomy (NCBI): domain Eukaryota; kingdom Metazoa; phylum Chordata; class Mammalia; order Primates; family Hominidae; genus Homo; species Homo sapiens. The sequence goes on along the minus strand of NC_000002.12, from coordinate 62,872,476 downwards.
TTTTAAATATAAATAAATGTAAGCAAATAAAAAATATTTACAGAATTGAGACTATTTTCACATTCTGTTGATCATCTATGATTTGAAAAATCTATTTCAGAACTTTATGCATCACTCTAAAAGACAATTATTTTTATCTTGGTATTGTATATTTGAGTAATAAATTAGTTATATCACTAACTCAGTAAGTTGAAAATTCATCGGTTATATTAGGAGAAAATTGGACAGAATAATTTTAAATGACATTATTTATTGCTTAGAAAATAATTCATCAAGAAAAATGAATTATAGAGAGAAAAACCAAAGTTGGTTCAGGATTAATTTAAACATACTGGAAAAATAATACAAAATGAAGCTAAGGAATAGTCTCTTCCTCTCACCTTGATATCTATGTTTCTTTGGAAAAACAAATTCAAAGTTATTAAAATGGGCATGTAGCTTCCCTGAATAAAATTCAATGAAAGGTTTCCTTGGCAAACTGACACAAAACCATACGAGAAATGACTGCATGCTGGGCCTCAAAAGTCACTTCATAAAAGTTCTGAAAAAATAATATTGGCTTATTGGTTTTCATTTTTACTACATAAACTAGAAGAGTTGAATTATCCCCCAAACATAAGTAACTGAGAAACCCATGCAGTTGCTAAGTGTAAAGGACACGTCCTAAAAGGCAAGGAAGGGTGAATACTTTCTCTTTGTGCTTATGGATATGCTGGGGCACTAAAGGTAGTTCCACACATCAAAGGATTCAGTACTATTTATTTGTGATAGTTTAATGTCAGAGTATACAGGAAGTTTGGTAATGGAAGGTGAGTCACATAGGCTTTTTGCTTGATGAAAGGTCATAAGTTTATTATTGAAGTAAGAACAAATTTTGGAAGATTTCTGCTACTGACATTGAACCTATAAACTTTTGTAGAGAAAAGATGATAAATACTAAACAAGTAATTAATACAAACAGAGTTCTTTCTGGACTTGCACATTAGCTTATGCGCAATCTTTAGAACTTGTGTGTATATTTCTACAAAATAAAGAAGCTAGAGTATTTACAGGCTCCCTCTGGTAACCCCAGATGATTGAGCAAGTTAGAACACTCTTTATTCACGAGAAACTTGTAAAGACTGTGACTTTCATGTGGAAAAAGAATGGCCAAAAGGAAACACCCAATGATTCTGATTTTAGTTTTTATTAAGGCATTTAAAAAGTTTAAGCAAACATTAGATGTCTCTTTAATTTGTTAATAAGAGAGCAGGTGTGAGTGTGTTGTGTAATACTCATGTATCTTGGAATACCTGAATGCCTGTACTTAAAGTTTGCATTTACATTCAAATATTCTAGGTGTGTGGCTATTACTCAGCACCTACACCACCCATGAGAAATTTTATTTCAATCACATGTTAGCTATTTCAAAGAAAACAAACACAATAACTTTACCAAGTGTTCGGCCAACTTTTCAACCCCCCATATAGTTATTAATTAGAAATAAGATGTCAACCTGGGTTTGGGTTTAGAATCAGATGATTATTATGATGTAACTCTGAGATTTTTGGAGATTAGAACTTTTTTAGGTTTTATCAAAACCTAGCCATACCCAGGAAGCATGCAGCACATGCTATAAAATGTGGAAAAGATGAGAAACACAACTCCACAGCAATAGAAAACAAGTCAATTTTCTCACTCTTTCAAATAAAAGTCTCAAAAATATACATATATATATTTTAAATACATATATATATATGTATTTTTTTTTTTTTTTTTTTTGAGATGCAGTCTCGCTCTGTTGCCCAGGCTGGAGTACAGTGGCATGATCTGGGCTCACTGCAACCTCCACCTCCCAGATTCAAGCGATTCTCCCACCTCAGCCTCCTGAGTAGCTGGGATTACAGGCACCTGCCACTACACCCAGCTAATTTTGTATTTTTAGTAGATGGGGGGGGTCTCACCATGTTGGTCAGGCTGGTCTCAAACTCCTGACCTCAGGTGATCCACCTGCCTTGGCCTCCCAAAGTGTTGGGATTACAGGTGTGAGCCACCACACCTGGCTAGTCTCAAAATATTTGAAGTTGGTTATTAAAGTTCCCTTAAATCATCTATTTTTAAAATCAAACAGTCCCTGTGCTCTGAATTATTGTTCATTTGATGTGGTTCTGGACACTTTAATGACTCTTTTTCTCTACTTTGTTAACATTCTGAATCACCAATGCCCCTTATAAAATACAACAACTAGTAGTCAAATAGTGCTTAAAATAAGAGCTAACCAATGCACAATAGAGAGATAACATTTCTCCTTTTGCACAAAGCTATTACCCCAAACTTTCATGAATCAAAGGAGCCTTATTATTATTCCCCTCTCAACCCACATATAGAGTGTTTTGAAATATTTTCCTTTCAACCTGCATTTTTAAAGAAATAACTATTTTTCCCAAGTTCTAAATAATGTTAATACACAAAAGTTTATGTATTTCCAAAGAAAGCAAAGACTCATATAGTCTCACAAGTGATCATATAATTATATTACTTATTATTAAATATTTTAAAGATCTCTCCCGTCACACACCAGTTATTTACATCAAATAGACCTAAAGGCCCAAGAATTCCAAGCTGGATATCACTCACGTGATATAATATTTCTGCTATTAAAGTTAAAGATTGCTGTTCTTTTTAAAACAGCTTTATTTAGGTATAAATGATAAACAATACATGGCTTACATTTGAAAATATTTAATGAGTATTTTTTATGCATGCATGCAAGTGTGAAACCATCAGCACAAATCAAGATAACAAACATTTCCAAACATTTCCAGTCCCTCCAAAAGTTTCCTGCATGCCCCTTTTTAATCTCTTCCTCCCTCCAGCTCTGATTGTAAACAACTACTGATCTGTTTTTTCTCACTATAGATTGTTTGCATATTCTAGAGTTTAAAATAAATGGTATCACACAGTATAGTATTTTCTGGTCTGTCTTCTTTCACTCAGTATAATGATCTTGCAATTTACCAACAGTTTGTTCCTCTTTATTACTGAGTAGTACTGCATTGTATGGATATGCCACAGTTTGTTTATCCATTTGTCTGTTGATAGATATTTGAATTGTTCCCATTTTGTTATTATAATCAATAAAGTTGTTAAAATATTTATGTAGAAGTCTTTGTGGACATATGCTTTCACTTCTCTTGAAACGTAGAAATGGAATGTCTGGGTCAAGTGATACATGTATGTTTAACTTTTTCAGAGACTGCCAAACTTTTTTCTAAAATGGTTGAACCATTCAGAAGTACTCTGAGAGTTCTGTGGAGTTCCGGTGGCCCCACATCCTTGACAATACTTGGTATAGTCAGTCTTGTAAATTTTAGTCATTTGGGTAGGTGTGTAGTGATATCTTATTGTGGTATCAATTTGCATTTTCTTGATGACTAATGAAGCTGAGCATCTCTCCATTCCTATACAATATTTTCATTTGTGAAATGTCTGTTGGAATATTTCCCCCTTTCTTTTAATAAATTTTTAAATTTATTATTTTTTAGAGACGAGGTCTCACAGCGTTGCCCAGGCTGGAGTGCAATGGAGTGATCATAGCTCACTGCAGCCTTGAAACCCTGGGCTCAAGTGATCAGCCCATATCAGCCTCCTGAGTAGCTGGGACCACAGGTGTGCACTATCACACCCAGCTAATTAAAAAAAAATTTTTTTTTTAAGAGATAGACTCTTGTTATGCTGCTCAGGTTGGTCTCCAACTTCTGGGCTCAAGAGATCCTCCAACCACAGCCTCCTGAGTAGCTGAGATTACAGGCATGAACCACTGCACCTGGCCTCCCCTTTCTTATTACTGAGTTAAAAGAGTTCTTTACATATTCTGGATACGTCTTTTGCCAGATGCAGGTATTGCAAATCATTTCTGCCAAACTGTGGCTTGCTTTTTCATTTTTGTAAGAGTTTTATAAAGAGAAAAACGTTTTAATATTGATGAAGTACAAATTAACCATTTTTTGTTTTATCCTTTGTGTTTTGTTGCATTCTACTTAAGAAATCTCCCAAATACAAAGTCACTAAGACTTTTTCCTATGTCCTCTTCTAGAATCTTCAGTTTTTTGTTTTTTAAGGTGGAGTTTTGCTGTTGTTGCCCAGGCTGCAGTACAATGGTGTGATCTTGGCTCACTGTAACCTCCACTTCTCGGGTTCAAGCAATTCTCCTGCCTCAGCCTCCCAAGTAGCTTGGATTACAGGTGACTGAAACCATGCCTAGCTAAGTTTTTGTATTTTTTTTAGTAGAGACAGGGTTTCACCATGTTGGCCACGCTGGTCTTGAACTCCTGACCTAAAGTGATCCGCCCGCCTCGGCCTCCCAAAGTGCTGTGATTACAGGTGTGAGCCACTGTGCCTGGCTGAATCTTCAGTTTTTATTCTTACTTTTAGTTGTGTGATCTATTTTTAGATAAATGTTTTATACAGTGGAAGGTAAGAATTGTAGCTTTTTTTTTGTTGAGGAGGGGCATATGGACATTTAATTGTTCTAGCATCATTTCTTGAAAAGATTATCATTTCCTAATTGATTTTCTTTGCTAGCTTTGTCAAAAATAAATTGGCAATATATGTATGAATCTAATTCCAGGCTCTCTTCCAGTCACCTACAGTCTATTAGTAAACTAATACCACACTGTCTTGGTTAATGAGTTTTAAAATCAGATAGTATAAATCCTCAAATTTTGCTCTTTTTCAAAGTTGTTTTGATTATTCTAAGTCCCTTTCATTTCCACATACATTTTATAAACAGCTGACAAATTATTTTTTTAAAAAGCATGCTAAAATTTTGATTGGGATGGCACTGAATTTATAAATTGACTGAAAATAACTTATATCTTTGAATCCATGGCCATTGTATTTTTTCCCATTGATTTCACTCTTTAATTTCTCTCAGCAACGTTCTGTTGTTTTCGGTATATACATATTGCACATCTTTGTTCAAATTTATCCCTGAGTTTTTTGTTTTGGATGCTTCTATAAATGGTATTTTTTTCAATATTGATTTCTGATTGTTCATTGTGACTACAGAGAAACACAATTGAATTTATATATTAATATTGTAGCCTGTAACCTTGCTAAATTTACTTTTTAGTTTTAGTACCCATTTTAAAGATTCCTTATGCTTTTCTATATAAACAATTGTCAACTCTGAAAAAAGTGTCTTCAAGTAACATTATGTATAAGAAGCTTAAAACAGTATCCTTTCATTCTGCTACTCAGCCTTTACACAACCATCATAACGTTTTACTTCTATATGTTATAAAACCCAGAATACATTATTGAAGCCTTAAACAATTATCTACCAGAGAGATTTTTAAAAATAAGACAAGTATTTTATATATACTAATATATTTGTCATTTCATGTGCTTTTTTCCTTCGTGTAAATCCAAATTTTCAAGTAGTATCATTTTGCTTTTTTGGAGTGCTGGGAATAGAAAATTATGTTGACAGGTTTTTGTTGTTATACTTTTCCTTCAGTCCTTTAAGAATATCACCTCATTGTCTTCTGGCTTGAGTTGTTTTTGTTAACAAGCTTTGCTATGACTTTCTTCATTTTTCTTGTGCTTGAGTTTCATTTGGCTTCTTTGACCTGTAGGTTTGTTTATATTTTTAAATTTTTTTATTTCTAAAACTTTTGGTGTTTACTTCTTCAAATACTTTTTCTGTCCTCTTACCTTCTCTTCACTTCTTTACACACGTTAGGCCACTGAAGTTGTTCCACAGTTCACTGATCCTTTGTTATTTTCTTCTTTCTCTCTTTTAATCTGGATGGATTCTATTGCTATGTCTTTAGGTTAACTAGTATTTCCTTTTGCAGTATTTAACAAGGGGTTAACCTCATCCAGTCTATTTTTCACCTGACTTTGTATGAGATGAAAAATCTCATCTCTATAAATTCAATTTCAATTTTCTAATATCATCTATGCTGTCTTCTTCTACCTTCTTGGATATCTGGAATATATTTATAAAAGTTATTTTACCAGGTTGATCTTTTAATTCCATCATCTGTCCCATTTCTGCATCTATACTAATGATTATGTTTTCTCCTCATTATGGGTCAGGTCAGATTTTCTTGTTTCTTTACATGCCTGATAAATGTTTGATTGGCTGTCATACAGTATGAATTTCATGTTTTGTGTGCTGGAGTTTTTGGTATTGATTAAAACTGTTTTGAGCTTCATGTGTGATGCAGTTAAATTACTTGAGATAAGTTTGATTCTTTTGAGCCTTGCCTTTAAGCTTTGTTAGGTAGGCCTAGAACAGCTTTCAGTTTAGGGCCAATTTGGCCCCACAACTGATGCAATACCTCTCTGAGGCCTCTACTGAATGTCCCATGTGTTAGGAAGTCTTTTCTTTCTGGCTGGTGGGAACACAAATTATTCTTGGTCTGGGGCAAACTCCAGGGATCATTCTGTTTGTTTCTTTGTCCTTCGTGATTTCCTCACACGCAAGCTCTGATCCACACTCAGCTAAAGACTCAGGAGGGGCTTTCTACAGATCTCTGAAACAGATCTCACAGAGTAGTGCTCCTCATACAGGTATAAATTCCGTACCTCTTCTCTTCTACAAATTCTGGTCACCTCAGTACTCCCAAGTCCAAACTCTATCTCCTTAATTCAGGGTGATTACTGGGATCTGAGTTTTTTTCTCTCTGAACTGCATTTAGAAACTCTCTCCCACAAATAAGTTACATAATTGTAGGGCTCGTCTTGTTTCTGTTCTCTCAGGGATCATTATCCTGTGCTGTTTGTGTCCAATGTCTGAATCCTATTGTTTCATATAATAATTTTATTCCATTTTTTAGTTGTTTAAGAGGCTAAATCCAGTCTGTGTTATCCCATCATGACTGGAAGTGGAGGTTTTGCTGCTGCTTTTAAAACACACTTAATGTCATGGTCTGTAGCCACATGGGCTATGAACTGTATAACTCCAGATTACAGTATGAACACATCCCCTTTTTATCCCCACTCCAGATTTGGGCAAATGGCAGCCCTAATTACACAGTCTATTCATACTGAGCTTGTGATAATCCCTAATTTAGAAATATTATTATTTCACTGTTTGGTATCTAAACAAGTCTTCTTATCAAATCAATACCACAAATGATTATTTTGTTCTCCTCCCCAACAGACCTATAAGATAACTGAAGTTTAATGTCTACAGAGTTTGATGGAAAAAAAAACCAAAAACCTAAATACCATTTATAATATAGTTTCTGTGAGAAGACACAATTGGAATTCCAACCAGAGATTCTAGGAATATATCTTCCTCACTTGTTAGTTTAGGGTACACACACACATACCTGGAAGAGGGTGGGAGAATAAGGTTTAAGACTATAAACACTCAGATAGTGGACGAGTTAGATACTGACTTATAAAGTGTACATTAATGATTTGTACCCATCTAAAGGTACATTACAAAAGGATCTCTTTAGGTAACATAGAGACTAACTTGTGATGACAGCAAAATGAAATGTACTTACTCATCCAATTCTTCTTCTTCAGTTTTAGAACTATCAGCATAGAGGTACTTGCTCATATCCACAGGTCTTATATTTTTTCTTTTTGTAGACTGGGGAGGAGAATCCTTTATGGTCACAAATGCTTCTGGCTCATCGAATGGGTTCAAATACTGTGGAGTCTGCACCTCTTTAAAGGGATTATAGCTGTTATTATAAAAAGAGTCTTCTGTTTTTCTAGGTGAAGCTGTTTCAGTGATAGGTTCTATAAAATAATAGCAGATGAATTAAATCACATGAATACCATATGATATTTTCTAATATTGTTTAGTGTTCTCAAATATATGCATTATTGAATTAATAAGCTCTATGGGGCTGAGAAAGAGCAAAGCAATAATAAAACAATAATATATTTTAGAGGGGCTAAGTAGTCTTAATGTTCAGAAGATGTGATATCTAAAATCTCTGTCAATTTCTCCAGGAATGGTACTCCCAAAAATGGCATTTTTGGATCATTACTGTTTCTTGAGATCCTCTGCAGTATCTAACAGTATTAACATTATGATATGCCAATTTTGAAAATGTTTTCTTAGATGTGCAAAATTATATTCTTTTATTGTAGTCTACCAGCTTGCCATTACAAACCGATACATAATAAATTTCTGTTTTTAAAAGAACATGAAATGGGCTGGTTATGGTGGTGCACACCTGTAGTGCCAGTTCCCAGGGACGTTGCAGTGGAAGGATGGCTGGAACCCAAGAGTTCAAGGCTGCAGTGAGCCATGATTGTACCACTGCACTCCAGCCTGGGTGACAGAGCATGACCTCAATTCAAAAATAAAATTTAAGGCTGGGCATAGTCTCTTGCACCTGTAATCCCAACTCTTTGGGAGGCCGAGGTGGGTAGATCACTTGAGGTCAAGGAGTTCAAGACCAGCCTGGCCAACATGGTGAAACCCTGTCTCTACTTAATACACAAAAACTAGCCGGGTGGGGTGGCGGGGGCCTGCAATCCCAGCTACTCAGGAGGCTGAGGCAGGAGAATCGCCTGAATCCAGGAGGCAGAGATTACAGTGAGCTGAGACTGCGCCACTGAACTATAGTCTGGGCAACAGAGCGAGACTCTGTTTAAAAAAAAAAAAAAAAAAAAAAAAACAACACAGAAAAATAAAATTTAAAAAAATAAAATAAAATAAAAAGAACAGGAAATTGATTCACTTTTGAAATGTTCTTTGATATTTACGTAAGCACAGACCACTCAGGGATCTGATAATTCATTCTGTCCTGTGTCGTATATATACTCACAGGCCACTGAACTTGTTTTCTCAAAGTTTTCAAAGAGGAGGTTTCTGTATGCTACAAGACTTTAAATCTTTAGAGCTTTTAATGAGATTATTTTTTCAATGTAACTTCAATCAATAATAACATAAGAATCTTCAAGGTGAAAGCACTATAATAATACTGGTAAGCTGATAGATATATCAAGTTTTTCTAGCTTTTATTATTTCAAATTTTAATTTGAAAACAATGGTGCTTTCATTTTTATTTTTTTTTGAGACACAGTTTCACTCTGTTGCCCAGGCTGTAGTGCAGCGGCACGGTCTTGAACTTCTGACCTCAATGATCCACCTGCCTCGGCCTCCCAAAGTGCTGGGATTACAGGTGTGAGCCACCATGCCTGGACAACAATGGTACGTGTGTGTGTGTGTGTGTGACGGAGTCTCACTCTGTTGCCCAGGCTGGAGTGCAGTGGTGCAATCTCGGCTCACTGCAACCTCCGCCTCCCCAGTTCAAGCGAATTTCTCCCACCTCAGCCTCCTGAGTAGCTGGGATTATAGGCATGCGCCACCACGCCTGGCTAATTTTTGTATTTTTAGTAGAGACAGGGTTTCACCATGTTGGTCAGGCTGGTCTCGGACTCCTGACCTCAAGTGATCCACCTGCCTCAGCCTCCCAAAGTGCTGGGATTACAGGCGTGAGCCACTGTGCCCGGCCTCAGTGGTACTTTTAAAATAAAACTCTGACTCAAAATACAAAACCACTATAGTAGTAGTAGTACTTAGCACGAGGCTTTTTTTTTTATGTTTGTTAGTATTTTAAAACAAAACAAGAATTTGTAATAAAACTGTCTAAGATTTGCTGATAAAAATATTTTCTCAAATTGTAGGAAAATTTCAGTGAGCCAAAAGTCATAGTGCATTAAAAGTAATTTTAATTATGCTATGCAATGCTAACAAAATATTCTGTGAGAGGAAGGCAGGAAATTGATTATTGAAATTCTCAAGAAAAATTGTTTCCTAAGTGACATTTCAAACAACTTAATCTGATTATTACAAAAATTTTATGACTGACATTTATTAATTACTTTTATTTTTTTGAGATGGAGTTTCGCTCTTGTTGCCCAGGCTGGAGTGCAATGGTGCAATCTCGGCTCACTGCAACCTCTGCAGTGACCTCTCCCGGTGTCAAGCTATTCTCCTGCCTCAACCTCCTGAGGAGCTGGGATTACAGGCGCCCGCCATCACGCCTGGCTAATTTTTTGTATTTTTAGTAGAGATGAGGTTTCACCCTGTTGGCCAGGCTGGTCTTGAACTCCTGACCTCAGGTGATCTGCCCGCCTCAGCCTCCCAAAGGGCTGGGATTACAGGTGTGAGCCACCATGCCCGGCCAATGACTTTTATATTTTAAAGTCAAACCACGTATACTGTACATGTTAGCCCAGAAAATTTATTTTGTCTTTATGTTGAAAAGAACATAAAATGAAAAATTCTGAGCTGAAAGTCTGTACACCATGGAGAAGCAAGTAAGTGTGAAAGAGAAGTCATAAAATCATAATAAATCAATACTGAAATGAATTTAAACATAGCCTAAAGAGACTCAGTAATAGTATCTTTTGTAATACCATGATAATATTCAAACTTAACACCACTAGAATCTTTATAATCATGTAAATTAAGCATTTTCTTTTCTCCATAAGGGAAGAGAGACTGTAAAGTTTTTCCTATCCAATTTTGTATTAACAAATATCAGGGCTCAAATGCTTAAGAAACTGACAAAATGGGTCAATAAAAATAAGATTTTTATTTTTTTCTTTCAGGAAGAGGATTGCAAAAATTAATCCAAGCAAATTCATCAGTTACAACACCAAAAGCAAGAAAGTATACAAACTATAGAGCAAGATTTGAAGATGCTAGAATAGGCAACAAAGGAGGGTTTAAGAGAAGACTTTCTTTCTTTTTTTTTTTTTCCTGAGCTGGAGTTTCACTCACTCTGTCGCCCAGGCTGGGGTGCAGTGGCACGATCTTGGCTCACTGCAACCTTTGTCTCCTGAGTTCAAGTGATTCTCCTGCCTCAGCCTCCCAAACAGCTGGGATTATAGGTGTGTGCCCCACACTGGGCTAACTTTTGTATGTTAAGTAGAGACGGGTTTCACCATGTTGGCCAGGCTCATCTCAAACTCCTGGTCTCAAGCGATCCACCTGCCTTGGCCTCCCAAAGTTCTAGGATTACAGGCGTGAACCACCGCGCCCGGCCGACATTTAGTAGCTTTCTAAAAAAGCCACTCAAGGGCTGGGCGCGGTGGCTCACGCCTGTAATCCCAGCACTTTGGGAGGCCAAGGTGGGCCGATTACAAGGTCAGGAAATCGAGACCATCCTGGCCGACATGGCGAAACCTCATCTCTACTAAAAATACAAAAATTAACTGGGCATGGTGGCACGCGCCTGTAATCCAGGCTACTCGGGAGGCTGAGGCAGGAGAAACGCTTGAACCCGAGAGTTGGACGTTGCAGTGAGCCGAGAATGTGCCACTGCACTCCAGCCTGGGCGACAGGGCGAGACTCTGTCTCAAAAAAAAAAAAAAAAAAAAAAAGCCACTCAAGCACATAAATATAAGAGGAGAACTGAACCTGTAAAAGCAAAAAAAGAATAATCTGAACAATTGCAACACATTTTTTTCTTCCCCAAATACTTCTGTTTTGAGGCTGCAAGTTTTTAATCAATAAAGATAAATTATTTCTATAAAAATATTTTAATAATAAAAAATACTTACTCTAAAGACTCTAATAGGCATATATTTAAAAAGATCAGTGGTTGACACATACTTGTTTGGCTCTACAGGTATAATTAAAGATTCTGAATCAGGCTGGCTTACTTCTTCTTCATAGAAATATGATCTTATGTGTTGTCTGCCACTCTCTTTTATACCTCTGATAACAGACTTACATTTAGAAAACTTACTTGATTTTAAAATAGAAAGTTCAAATACTGAATGTCTCAAGACATTTTGTAAATATTTTTGAACTCAGTATACTTAATTGTATGTAGTATAAAATCAAGAAGTTGTGTGGTCAAAAGGATACCTGATTAAGAATCTTAGTTCCAACTCCACCTCCATCTAACCTAAAGTCAAATAATTTAACTTCTCTCAGTCTCAGCTTCCTAATCTATGAAAAGAGGTAGTTGACTGCCTCTATGATTTATTGTAATTTTTTTTTTCTTTTTTTGAGATGGAGTTTCGCTCTTGTTGCCCAGGCTGGAGTGCAATGGCGCGATCTTGGTCACTGCAACCTCCGCCTCCCAGGTTCAAGCAATTCTCCTGCCTCAGCCTCTCGAGTAGCTGGGATTACATGCATGCACCACCATGCTCAGCTAACTTTTTATATTTTTAGTAGAGACGGGGTTTCTCTATGTTGGTCAGGCTGGGCGCAAACTTGTGACCTCAGGTGATCCGCCAGCCCTGGCCTCCCAAAGCGCTGAGATTACAGGCGTGAGCCACCGTGCCCAGCTATTGTAACCTTTTTAAGATTTAAAATATGTTCATAATATATAGCCCTCAAACAAAATAAAAAACTCATGAATACACACTTACTATTAATAATTTAGAGTCTGGTAAGAAGGGAGAAGGTAAAGGAAGAGGAGACAGAGAAAGAATTATGAAATTATATTGCTATAACAGAGTGAATCCTGAAGCTAAAACCTCATTTTCACCATGACAGGCAGTAGCAAAATTCTTTAAAATTCATGAAGATTTCTCAGACACAGTCAAAAAAAGATGTAAACAGTAGTTAATCATTCTTGCATTTATGTTAAGCATACAGAGTTCAATTAAACAGAAGTCTCACTTCTGTAACAGCCCTTAGCCAGGCTTTATGAGTTCAAAACTACTTAATAAGAAAAGTGACTCAGGAAAAAAAATCCCTGGTTTTATACCTCACAAGTATGCTGTATATATATATATAATAGCAGCGGTTCTTAACCTACTCTCTGCTCCATGTTTTCACATGCATAACTCACTCTCACTACTAATTCTCTGCTAGAGAATCTCGGCTAGAGAGACATAGAGTTGGGGCAGAAGGGCTCAACAGACTGAGTGTCAGGGAAAATGATCCATATAGAGAAGCTACCTCCACCATCCCAAAATCAGTATATCCCACATTCTGACCTTACTTGGTAGACCAAACGAATGAGACTTGTAAAGCCCCATGTAAATGTTTACGTAAGGCTTTCTTTTTTCTTTAAAAGCCATTCCATAGAAGTGACCCAGAATTGCTGATCAACTCCAAGTGGTATTGAACACAATAATAATATCATTATAAACAATAATTTTTTGTGTGTTAGTCTCTGAAGAAAATATTTTCCTGCCCTTACAGTTCAAGTCAACTTGACTATACAAAGACTTTAAAATTACAGAAAAACTTGCTACCTTCTGAGTCAGGATCTCCAAATGGATTTAATTCTGCAGCATCAGGATCATCAAATGGATTTGAATTCACGGTGGCCAAGTCCTTTTCTGCTTCATCCAAAAAGTTAAGTTTGTTGATAAGCTCTGAAAATAAACATATGGGTTAGTTCCCTATTATGGTTAAGTGTAAGTATTGAACATTCGTGAAATATTTCAAATGGTAAAAGTTCACACGAATAATACCTGCAAATAATAGTATATAGCATTTTACCAATGACAGAATGCCATTCAAGTATTTTGTAGCATACCAACATTTTCAAACAAAACAAAACAAACATTTGAGTATTAATTGAAAATTATGTCAGATAATGAACTGTACTAAAGAAACTTCCATGTCAATTTAATTTGAGCCAATAAAAAAAGTGTTGACATAGACTTTTAGAAAGAACATTCTTCACTCCCAAACAGGAATAACTGAAATGGGCTTATGATAAGCAAATATTCTAAAAACAATATATTTATAATATATAAACACACTGAAGAAGTAGCATGTTGTATGACCAAGTATTATCTTAGAAAATGTTTTAAAACCACTGTCTATCAAGGATCCTGACATGACTTTGCTAAAGATAAGTACTGTTATCTTGTTGCCTGTTGGTGCACTACAAATTACCAAAGAAAACATTCAAGGAAAAGCACAAAGACAAAACTGACAGATAAATACAGACAGAAGTCAAGAGGTAGCAGGTCACAGTAAATACAGGCAATCAGAAGCAGAAAGAAAGGAGGAAAGCTCTTAGACCTTCAGAGGAACTGGCTGATTTAGCTGAACGCATATTTGCTTGCTTTATGCAGTCATCTTGATCTTCATCTAAGCTGCTCAGAGCATTCAACTGGTTTACAATTTCTGTAAACAGAAGCCAGTCAAGACAAATATAAGGTAAGGTCATTTAATTAAAGAGAAGTAGGAGCATGCTGTTACCCAAAAAGACAAAGAGGAGATGTTTGGTTAATCAACAGAATACATTCGGTGGATGTTATTTTGATGAACCCATAACAGATATGCTTAACTGAATGTTATGCTGTACTCATATTTTAAAATAGAAAGCATTTTATTGTTAAAATGTATACTAGTAACATAAAAACTATGTTAATAAACACAAAACGAGATAATAACCCGAGAAGTTGACACTGGTTTTCACATTTCACATTTACAAAATAGAGCTGTGCTTTAAACACATATATTAAAAACAGAACAAAATATATATACTCTGATACTACAGAAAATATTTGTCATTTGTTTTATATTCTAAATTTAAACAAAAAGTTTTAAGAATATAAATGCATGGATTATATACATAATAAGTATGTATTCATGTTGCATTTTAAAAATCGGCACTAAAACAAGAAAAAAGCAACAGTTACTATTTTCTACTACTGTTTTTTTTTTAATAGGATCTGTTCTTTTAAGGCAACTTTAGAGTATATGCTTTAGAAAAATCTTATAATAAAAACAATAAAAGAGAACTAAAAAGGACAGAGAAACAAATTTAAGATACAATTTTTTACATGAGTCATCTATATTTTGAACAACTCTGAATATGTGAAATTATCACTCATTGGGTGAAAATTAGACTACTCAAATAAGAACCTTTTAGGATACTACGGGGTAATTCCTGATATTTCCAAAGTTACAACCTAGGAATAGCTTAGGTATAACGATACAGCAAATAGATCCAGATTATTCAGTAGGAAAGAAATAAAACGATTGGAAGTAGAACACAGTTGTAAATTTGACATTAAAAGTACTGTTCTTTAACATTGTAAACCTAAGGGCACATGGTAAATTTTATTTGAACTAAATCATTTAATATGCATTTATAATATGGCTGCCTGCAACTATTCATGTATTGAACAAATATTTATTTATCAGTCTGTGCCAAGACCTATTCTTCGGACACAAAAACAAACATGGTATTGTCCTTGTGGAATTTACGATCTATAGAGACACAAATTAACATGGAAACAGACTTAACAAATACCTACAGGCATACCACATTTTATTGCACTTCCCAGATATTGCATTTTCTATTAAGTAAAGAGGTTTTTTTTGCTTAAAGCAACAAAAAAAATTATTATCCAACTGTTGTGGGGATCAGAAGACTTGCTGGGCTAAAATTAGGAAGTTCGATAGGCTGCATTCCTTTCTGGAGCCTATAGGGAAGAATTTGCTTCCCTCCCTTTTCCAGCTTCTAGAAGCCAACCTTGTCTAGAAGTCTACAAGCCACTCCTTAACTTGTGACCCCCTTCCTCCATCTTCAAAGCCAGCAACAGTGGGCCAAGTTGTTCTCACATCACATGTGATGACTTTCTCTTCTGCCACTCTCTACCATTTAACCACCCTGGTAATTATATTGAGTCACACGGATAACCTAGCATACTTTCCACTATGTCACGGTCAGCTTATAAACAACCTTAATTCCATCTGCCACCTTATGAATTGAAGGTTTGTGACAACTCTAAGATTAGCAAGTCTATCAGCACCATTCTTCCAACAGGATGTGCTCACTTAATGTGTGTGTCATATTTTGGTAATTCATATTGTTACAGGATCCTTGGGATGTAGCTTTTCTGGCTGGAAACCTCTGTGGCCAGTGGTGCCTTTGCCTGAGTTTTTTGCTCAGGCCTGCTGGACTCATTCCACCCACTTGGCCTGGCATGCTGCACTTGGCTCACGCTACTGACCTGGATCCCATGCCTACCAAGGGCGAGTCAGGCATGGAGTGATGAGGGTAGTGTGAGTGAGTGTGGGGTCTAGCCACTGTGCAGTCAGACACACCAGCTGCTGCAGCAGAGTGGGAAGCTCCATGTGTGGCATAGGCACCAGCTCTCTGCAAGGCTGCAGGTAGACCAGGTGCACTGCAGTTTCCACATCTGGCACTGGGAACGTGGTGGCACCTGGAAGCTTGGAGATGCCAGGAACCACAGGGCCCCAAAGCGGGAGTCACAGCCCTGGCATGGGGAGCTCCCAGATATGTGCTCCCTGATGGGCAGCAGCTCTTCTCTCCTCTTCACCTGCAATGTGGTGAGCAAGGGGCATGTTTCAGCCCTGTTTGTGTTACAGTTCTCCTAACCCTGCCATTCAATGGGGCTAAAAGAGCTGAGTTCTTGTCCTACAACCAGGAAGAATGAGGTACACAGGCAAGTGGAGGGTGAGCAAGATAAAGAGGAGCTTTACTGAGCAACAGAACAGCTCAGAGGAGACTCGCAGTGGGTAGCTCCTTTCCACAAGCAGGGTGTCCTGAAGAGTGTTCAGCTCCTAGCAGGGAGGAGACCCTGGAGTGGGAAGCTCTTCTCTGCAGGTAGGTAATCCTGTCAACTCTGCAGCTCTCAGCAGAGAGACCGTGGAGTGGCTTGCTCCTCTTTACAGGCAGGTCGACCCATTGTCTTTCTAGCTCTCAGCAGACAGGAGGCCCTGGAACGGGTTGCTCCTCTTTGCAACTGTTTGTCTCAGTGTCTTCCAAGCTCTCAGCAGAGTAGAGGTCCTGGAGTGGGTTGCTTCTCTCTGCAGGCAAGTAGTCCCATCAACTTCCCAGCTCTGAGAAGAGAAGAGGCCCTGGAATTGGTTGCTTCTCTCTGCAGCTGATTGTCCTGATATCTGCTCAGCTCTGACAGAGCCCAGGGCTTTCATGGGCCTCAGAGAAGAGGAATTGCATGCTGATTGGTTCATGGGCGGCCTGGAAAAAGCACCACAACCTCCCACTCTGGTCTGTGGAACTGGCAGCCTGGCCCCCAGCCTTCAGGCCCTCCCTGGCCTGAAGGTGGGGCCTCACCAGAGACCTTCCTCCTTCTACCCAGGAACCTACCTCCTGCTGCCATTCATGGTGCCTAGGGTGTAGGTGCCAATGGGTGCCTGCAGGCCAGCATGGAGCTGCCCTCAGCCACCCATCAGCTCCCCTCCTATGCTCATCGGTGCCCAAAATCCAGAAGGGGTCTGCTGCCGAGGTGGCAGGGGGCTGGTGTGTCAGCACTGCCCTGAGCATGTGCACACCTGGCCGGGCTGTGACAGCACCCGAGCTCAGCTCCAACTTTGTTCCAAGATTGGAGCAGGTGCCAATAGCAGGGAGAAGCCAGACAGCAGAAGCAGGCACTTCTGAGGCTGAGAGGGCAGGGGAAGCCTTCCCAGGCCCACAAGAATGCAGGGATGTCTGGGTCTGCAGCCGCCGTTTGGGCAAGCTGTGCTGGGGGGTTACGGCTCCTGCCTGCTCCCTGCAGTGGGAGGCCCAGGTCCACAGCCACAACTTGGGCAGCTGAAGCTGCACCCAGGAGGGCAGGGCTCCCACCTGCTCCAGGGTCCAAGAATAGAGGGGTACCTGGGTCTGCAGCACGGCTTGGGCAGATTTAGTAGCACCCAGGGAGCTCCAGCCCCAACTCAGAAGGGGCGGGGCTCCTGCTTGTCCCCAGTTCCCGCCAGCTGCTTGGAGTGTGTGGCCTCAGCCACGCCTCCCTGCTGTAGCAGGCATGACGACAGCCACCACTCCAGACGGCCCACCGCTGCCATCATCACCATATTCTAAACCTTTTCATTATATCTGTTAGGTGATTTGTGATGAGTGATCTTTGCTGTTACTACTTAAATTGTTCTGGGCTGCAATGCACCACACCCATTTAAGATGGCAAACTTCATCAATAATGTGTGCATTCTGACTGCTCCACCCGGTTGTTCCCCCATCTACCACTCCCCAGACCTCCTTATTTTCTCAGACACAACAATATTGAAACTAGGCCAGTTAAACCCTGCAAAGGCCACTAAGTGTTCAAATGAAAGGAAGAGTTGTATGTCTCTCCCTTTAAATGAAAAGCTAGAAATGATTAAGTTTTGTGAGGAAGTCATGTCTAAACCAAAGACAGTCTGAATGCTAGGCCTCTTGTGCTAAACAGTTAGACAAGTTATGAATGCAAAGAAAAAATTCTTGAAGGAAATTAAAAGTTCTAACCCAGTGAACACATGAAACTTTTAAAAAATGCATAAAGCCTTATTGCTGATGCAGAGAAAGCTTTAATGGCCTGGATAGAACATCAAACCAACCATAGCATTCCCTTAAGCCAAATCCTAACCCAGAGCAAGGCCCTAACTCTACTCAATTCTGTGAAGGCTGAGAGAGGTGAGGAAGCTGCAGAAGAAGTCTGAAGCTAATGTAGCTTCAACTTGTGTTGATACTGAAGAATGTGACTTCAAGTTGAAGTAGATGCTCATTTACCATTCCAGAAAATCCTAGGGCCCTTAAAAATGATGCTAAATGTACTGTGCCTGTGCTGTATAAAGGCAACAACAAAGCCTGGATGACAGCATATCTTTTTACAGCATGGCTTACTGAATATTTTAAGCCCATTGTTGAGACCTGCTGTGCAGAAAAAAAGACGCCTTCCAAAATATTACTACTCATTCCTTTTTAGCATGCTCCCTAAAAAAGTAACATCACTGCTCACTGACAATGCACCAGGTCGCCCAAGAGCTGTGATGGAGATGTACAGGTGATTAGTGTTGTTTCTGCAGCACACAGTTCAAGGAGTAATTTTGATTTTCAAGTCTTATTATTTAAGAAATACATTTTGTAAGATATAGCTCTCATAGGTAGTGATTCCTCTAATGATCTGGGCAGTCAATTGAAAACCTCTTGGAAAGGATTCACTGTTCTAGATACGATTAAGAATTTTGTGATTCATGGGAGGAGGTCAAAATATCAATATCAACAGGAGTTTGGAAGAAGGAAGAGGCTGATTCTGATCTTCATGGTTGACTCTGAGACGTTCAAGACTTCAGTGGAGGAAGTAACCACAGATGTGGTGGAAATAGCAAGAGAACCAGCACTAGAAGTGGAGCCTAAAGATATCACTGAATTGCTGCAATCTCATGATAAAACCTGAAAGGATGAGGAGTTGCTTCTCTGGATGAACAAAGAAAGTAGCTTCTTGACATGGAACCAACTCCTGGTGAAGATGCCGTGACATAATGGTATTGCACACTTAACAGACTACAGTATAGTGTAAACATAACTTTTATATATACTGGGAAATCAAAAAATGTGTGTGACTTGCTTTACTGCAATATTTGTTTTATTGTGGTGGTCTGGAACCAAACTCACAATATCTCCAAGGAATGCAGGTATGAAAATACTAGGCTGTCAGAGGTATGTTATAGATCTTTCAGCAAAATATATATGAAAAGTTGATAAGCTTATCAACTTCCCTTTTCTAAATGAGTAAATATATTTTGCATAACCAAAATTGCTTGAGATAGTCAAAGTAAACCATAGAAAACAGAAAGTAAACGCAATTAATACCAATTGAACTTTTTAATCCCAATTTGAACAGTAGGAGCTAAATAGTCAGACTTACAAAGTTTCTTCTTCCATCTTGTTTTGCCAATAGTTTTAAATCGTACTCTGACTCAAGGTAACCTAGCTAATTTCTCAGTAGGTAGAATTAATTCATAAATTAGATAATTTACCTGCCTCTTGCAGTCACTGTAATTTTGTAATTTTTAGGAAAAATATAATGGAGTGTAGGATCACTGTTAAGTGATTACCAGTCTCATGACTGATTTTTTTTTCATTCTTTACTAGTTGGGCATTTTTCAAAATTTACAAATGATTTATTTTTAACTTTAAAAATATTAATAACTTTGAACATATAAAAAGAAATATTAACAACAGCAGCTAACAATTACTAAGCAGTGGGAAAGGCTTTGCATCCATTATCAGTTAATTCTCATAAATAATCAAAAAAGAATTATTATTCACATTTTATCATGTATATTAGTATTATTTATTTGCCCCACAGGAATAACTTTGTAAACATAAAATATGAATAACTATGAAAATATAAAATATAAAAAGAAATAATAGCAGTTAATTATGAAGCAGTAGGAAAGGCTTTGCATCCACAATCAGCTAATTCTCATCAATAACCAAAGAAGTATTATTATCCACATTTTATCATGTATCTTAGTATTATTTATTAGTCCTATATTCCTATATGTGCAATTAATAGGTCAAAAAATGTTTACACAGTGCTCAAGTATTTGCACTTTTCTTTATATAGCTAAGACGTTTTAATTATCTTATGTTCCTAAAAGTAATCTTAATGAGAGAAGAAATCAATCATTTATTAAACATGTTATATTTGAGCACCGCAGGGAATATAGAAGAAGTATTAGAGTTAGTCTTTACCTTCAAAACATTAATATTGTTCCACAGAATTTTAGGTATAATGTCGGCATTTTAAAAAATACTATCAAGATGACTCTATTACATGACTGAATTATTTTTCCAAATGCTTAGAGTATGTCTTCCTCATCATCATGCTTTTGGTGACATCTAAAATCACTTACGGCCATTTCTTCATTAACTAATTCAAAGTAATTTCTTCTTTACATTCTCTTCACTAATGACAAACTGTCCTAGTAGTTTCCACCATTTATCCTTAGCTTAAGTAAATCCCTACTTCACTCCTAGAACTTCTGCTTCTACAACTTTCATTTACATTAACAGAGTGAAAAGGTAATTTTGATTTCTATACCAATGCTTCCCTTATTTGGTTTGCAAATAAATGTTAGCACAAATCATAAAAAAGCAATGTCCAAAAAAAACCACTTATCTATTTAATAAGCATTTATCAAGTACCTATTACATGCCTGTGCTAGTACCTGCTCTCATGGCTTTATATTTTAGTGGGACAGATAGGCAAGTAAAGTAATATGTACTGTATGATAAACATTATCATTGAGATAGCACTGTAGGCTACGGGAAACTAACTGAAAGAGAGATGTATAACTCAGAGGTTAGGAGGGCTTTCTGGATTTTTATCTACATTTGAGCTAACACAAGACAAGTAGACATTATGATTATTAAAATAAAAGAGGATATGGATGAGGACAAAGGGAGGCAAAGAGAACATGACACACTTGAAGAACTGCAAATTGGAGTTTAAGATGCCAGCGATAGGAAATGGAATTAGATGGGGCTGGCAGCTGTCCTATCATGAAGGTTGTTGTGATCAAACTAAAGAATTTGAACTTTATTCTGAGAGTTATGGGAATCTAGCATATTTCAGAAACTACATTCCAGCAGCAACATGGTGGCAGCGTTTGGGAAGAAAGGATAGGAAGCAAGACAAAGCATCACCACTCCATGAGGGAAGGCACTCAATAAATACTTGTTAATTGAAGAATAAATTAAGAAGATTTGATGATTAATTTGGCATGCAGGATAGGCAAGAAATCTAAGATAAGTGCTATGTTTGCGTGTTGGATGACTGTGGATAGCAACTGAGACTGGGCTATTAGTTTTAGACAGTTGGTGAAACTTCCCATGCAAATACTTCAATTGGCAGTTGCTATGTGGGTCAAAACCCTAAAATATATAATTTTGTTATGTATTTCTCCTTCTAAAAAAAGTACTTGTCTGTTTCTTCCAATTTTCTACAATGTTTTACTTTTACAATCGGAAAAAATTAACTTAAAAGAAAATTTATAACAAAAATTTATTCCTGGAATTTTTTTAATGGGAAGTTTTTTCAGTTACATGCTACCCTGACCAAAAGTACTACCCAACCCAATATATTTATATAATACTTTATTACTTTATAAAGTCTTGTTTCACAGAAAATTGAAAACGTTTGGAAAATGCTAATAATGTTATATTTCTCCCCTACTACTATACAAATTGAGCAATAAACCCATATATTTCCTGTAACTGTATGTCAGTTATGGACCTGCTTCACATTGATGAGAATAAGAAGAGAAACTAAATCAGGGGCAGGCAATCAAAGCAAAGGGTCAAATAATTTGAGATTCTTCCTTACAGTAAGGAAGGCAAAAGAAGATCGAAATTGACCACCAGAGATTATCACATTGAACAAAAAAGGTGGGGATGGGGATGGCAGCACGACAAGTGACGAGTAGGTGGCTTTTTCCTTTTAAGAAAGTCTGTAGTAAAAAGAAAAAAAAACTTCCTGTAGGCTAGAATATACCTGCAAATCTTGCAGTACCTTCGTTATTCTCTAAATTATAACGAGATTCAGGTATGTCTTATTTTAAGATGGTCTAAAATAGTAACTCTTCAACTTTCTGGCAGAGATCAAGGTAAAAAAGATGTCACTTTCTCCACAGGCTTAAACCCATAAATATGTGATTGCCTCTTTTAGGATACTAGCATCTCCTGATTCTCCTCCTATCTCGGACAGAGAGTTCTGTCTCAGTCTGTTTTAATAATAATTACTCTTCCCTCTGCCTAGGATCCCATCATAGGTCCCATTTTTCCCCTAAATCTGTTCTTTTTTGAAAGAATTCATCTATTCTCTTGGCTTAACTACAAACACATAAATTAAGATAATTCTCAAATACATACTGAGTGCCAGACTTGAATTTCCAACTACCTAGTGGGCACTTCTACTCTAATGACCATAGATAGTCCCCTCACACACTTAATATATTAAAAATAGAATTCAACAGCTGTGCTACTATGTCATGTTCGTCTTGTATTTCTAACAACTAGCAATTTTAAGCCCATAGCTAGTACTTAATGTACGTTGTAAATGAATGAATGAATGAACCGAATGAGTCATAATACTTTGCATCATCTTATAAAGGCAGGAGGATATAAAATATTCTTTATTTTTACATTATAGATACACTGTTTTATCTATGTATCTATCTCTATGTCTATGCATGTATGCATGTATCTATAATGTTTCATTTATCTATAGAAATATTATATTTTAAGCCACCACTTCAAAATTTGGTGACTTAAAACAACAAATTATTATCTCTCAAAGTTCTGTGGGTTGACTGGACCTAGCTGGGTAGTTCAATGTAGTTAGATGGCAGTGGGCTGAAGTCATCTGAAAGCTTGACAGGGCTGGATGTCCAAAATGGCTTTACTCACGTTTGATCTTGGCTGAAAAGGCTAGAACAACTCGCAGATGGCCCAGCATCTCTCTCTCTCTCCAAGTGGCCTGTCCACATGGCTAGTTTGGGGTTCCTCTCAGCAATGCAGTCTCAGGGCACATGAACTTTTTACATGACAGCTGGTTTTTCCTAGAGCATGCATTATGAGAGGACCAAGCAGAAGCTAAAAGGCAGCTTCCAACTTAGTTTTGGAAGTTACATAGTCACTTCCATTTTATTATATTGGGTAAAGTGATTTACCAGGCCAGCCAAGCTGCAAAGGAGGAGATTATAAAAGAGCATGAATATTGGGAGGTATTAATTCATTAGGACACAGTCAGGAGACCAGCTATACCACACAGTAGATCAATAAATCAGAAAGTTAGAAATCATTCATTTTCTTACAAACCTAATATATTTACTATAATTTTTACATGCTACTTTCCAGTATTTTACTTACACATACACATAAAGGCACAAATCTTAGACTGTATAATTTAATGAATTTTGACAAACATATACACCCATGTGACCCAAGCTGCGTAACATCTGCAACATCTTCCAAAGTTCTCTCTTGCCTCTTTTCAGTCAATCCCCAGTCCCACAGGCTATAACTATTTTAATGTTTATTAAAATAGTTTTGCCTTTTCTAAAAACATCACATAAGTGAAATCATATAGTGTATCTTTTATGTAAAGCCTCTTTCACTAAGCATAATGGTTTTGAGGTACATCTATGTTGTAGGGCATATCAATAGTTCATTTTTATTGCTGAGTAGTATTCCATTCATGAACATACTACGGTTTAGCCATTCTTCTGTTGATGTATGCCTGAGCTATTTCCAGTTTGGGACTATTACGAATAAATTGCTATGAATATCTTTGTGCAAATCTTTTTGGAGACATATATTTTCATTTATTTGGGGTAAATAAATGGGTCAGAGGGTAGGTGTATGTTCAGTGTTGTAAGAAACTTGCTAAGTGCCGGGCATGGTGGCTCACACCTGTAATCCCAGCACTTTGGGAGGCCAAGGTGGGAGGATCACTTGAGATCAGGAGTTCGAGGCCAGACTGGCCAACATGGTGAAACCCCATCTCTAATAAAAATACAAAAAAAAATTAGCTGGGCATGGTGGTGGACACCTGCAGTCCCAGCTACTCAAGAGGCTGAGGCAGAAGAACCGCTTGAACCTGGGAGGTGGAGGTTGCAGTGAGCTGAAATCATGCTACTGCACTCCAGCCTGGGTGACAGAGTGAGACTGTCTCAAGAAAAAAAAAAAAAAAAAAAAGACACTCATTATGTGATGGTACCATTATACATTCTACCAACAATGGATGAGAGTTTGTTGGTCCACAGCCTTGCCAACATTTAGTAGTGCCAATCTTTTAAATTTTAACCATTCTAGTAGATATAGAGTTGTATCTCTCTGTGATTTTAATTTGCATCTCCCTGATTAAAAGTGATGGATTTTTGATGTGCCATTTGGCTAGTGATAGATCTTTGTGAACCATATGTCCAAATCTTTGTCCATTTTAAAAAAATAAGGTCACATGTCTTTTTTATTATTTAGCTGTAAGGCATTTTTATAAAAATCTGTTCTGGAAACAAGATCTGTGACAGATATATGCTTTGTGACTATTTTCTTCTAATCTATGACTTGCTCGTACATTTTCTTAATGGTCTTCTTTTTTCCTAAGAGACAGGATCTCACTATGTTACCGAGGATGGACTTGAACTCCTGAGCTCAAGCTATCTTCCCACCTCAGCCTCCCAGTAGCTAGGACTATAGGTGCGTGCCACTATGCCTAGCTTTTTAAATAATCTATTTTGATTAGTGTAAGTTTTAAATTTTGACTAAGTTTAATCTATCAAATTTTTCCTTCCTGGTTATTGCTTTCTGTGTCATCTGTTAAAACCCTCTGCCTACCATGAGGTCAGAAACACAGGTTTCTAGGTTTTTGTTTTGCTTTTTTTCAGAAGCTTCATCATTTTACAGTTTTGTATTTAGGTCTATGATCTATCTTGAATTAATGTTTGCTATTAATTATAATGAACACACTGAATTAATGTATGTGGAGAGGTGGGGGTTGAGGTTCATTTTTTCCATACAAACATCCAGTTGTTCAGCATCATTTATTGAAAAGACCTTTTCCCCCACTGGATTATGCTGACAACTTTGTTGAAATTAATTGGCCAAGCTTGGGTATATTTCAGGACTTTGTTTTGTTCTGTTGATCTATTTATCCTATGCCAATTTGACACTATCTTGATTACTACAGCTTTATAGTAAATTTTCATGTCAGGTAGCATTACTATTATAATTCAGTTCTTTCTCAATATTCTTTTGGTTACTTTGCATCCCCAAATATACTTTAGAATCACTTTTGAATTTCTTTATTTTTAAAAAACACCTGCTAGGATTATGACTGGCATTGAGTTGGATTTACAGATTGATTTGAGGAAAAATGATATCTTAACAATACTGTATCTTCTAATCTATGAACACAGGTTATCTCTCCATTTATTAAGGTCTTCTTTAATTACTTTCAGTAATGTATTATACTTTTTAGTCAGAGGTTTTTCACATCTTATGTCAAATTTATTTCTTAGTCTGTTTTTTATTTACCTCTACTGTAAATGAAATTTTTTAAATTTCATTTTCCAAATGTTTGTTGTTCATATATAAAAATACAGTAGATTTTTCTATATTGATCTTATATCCTGTGAGTTTGGTAGAACTTCAAATATAATGTTGAATGGTAAGAGCAAACATCCTTGCCTTGTTCCCAATCTTAGGGGAAAAGTATTCAATGTTTCACCATTAAATATGATGTTAGCTGTAGCTGTTCATGAATGTCCTTTATCAAAATAAATAAATTCTCTTCTATTGAAACTTTGCTAAGAAACTTGGCATTGAATTTTGTCAAATGTTCCTTTCTGCATCTGTTGAATTGACTATATAATTTTTTTCCTTTATTAATGTGGTTAAACTAACCTTGAATTCCTAGGATAAATCCTTAGTGAACTCATATAGGTACTTTGAATATTAATTGCCTTCTGGCTCCTCCCCTAAATACTGGAAGGCTTCTGACTTCTTTTTTAGAGCCCTCGTTCCCATCCAAGCCCTGTCAGATGGGTTCTCAGCATCAGTAGAATTCTCCCAGAGCCTCAGAAGTCAGGGAAGCTAGATTATGTTTAGTGTCATAAGTACAAATAAAGCAGCATTAGCATTTAAGAGTGACAGAGAAAGCAAGCTGAATTTATAGTCTGTGTTTTCTGCTACTGTTACTATTCTCTGAGTTGACATATTTGAGTTCTAAGACTGCAAAGATATATTCCTGATGACGTCAGTCTCTCATCCTAGGGTTTCAAACTCCTTTAAAAATAAGGTAGCTATGATACCTTATAAACTTATTGGCTAAAGGGATCAGAATTGCCCTACCTCTCTGCTTTCCTCCTATTCCCAACCTTAGTGACTACATAACAGAGGCAGTTTTCCAGATATTCTCATCCTTTTAACTGACCTCCAAAATAGGTGGCCATTTTAATTAATTTTTATTTAAACAAAATTTTTTTTGGCTAAGGCGATCCTCTCATGTCAACCTCCAAGTAGCTGGGACTACAGGCGCATGCCACCAAGCCTGGCTAATCTTTTTTTTTTTTTTTTAATTGAGCCCATAACAATCCTATGATTTTGTTCACGAGATGCCTAGGTACTGGTGGGTGGATGCCAGGTAAAAACCAGGAGCAAATTAATGGTCCTACTCTCTGACCAGAGTCCCATATTTATTTTAAGGAACCTTCTAATAAAAGGTGGGATACCTACTTATCTCCATTCATAGCCCTAGTAAGTAGAATTTAATCTCAGAGGGCTGAGTCATACCATCATCAACTCTAGCTCCTTAATATGTAATTGGTATCTCCTCTACTACCATCTGTGCTGTTAGATTTTGTTCCCTGAAGGTAGCCAAATATGTCACTCTCTCTTCCTTCTCCCAAATTAACTTTATCAACTATGGGAAAAGGATTAACAAACACCAGGAAACATTGCTTATGGTAAAAATCAAACCTGATTGACAAATTGCATCTGGATGGGAAGATTCTGAATGAATTATATAGCTGGTGTAAGGCCACAGGTTTTAGCTTCTTTGAATGTAGAGACTCTTATAAATGTGCATGTCCCTTATAGGAACCTTGGAAACTGTACCCATGAGACTGGTACAAAGGTATTAGCTCAGACCAGTTAGGGTATTAAAAGGAAAAAAAAAAAAAAGATAATCTGCTCTTGTGTTGCATGGGGATTTTAAGACAAAGCAATCCCTGCTCCTAACTATCTGAATCTTGTCACTTTGTACCCAAGTTGTCATTTGGTGGTAGGGGATAAACAACAGTATTCAGATTGCTGTGAAGACTCTGGTGAAAAAGGAATACCCTGCTGGCATACTGTGTTTCCTATCCAATATCCTTTTAAGTCAATCTAACACTGCTTGGCCTATGTAGGTCATGCGAATGAATCTGAATGTCCAGCTGATTTTAGGTAGACCCCATGGTGATCTTTGCAACACAACAAACTTTAAGAATATCAGGGGTCTTTCAGGAGCCTCATAATGTCTGAGTTCTCTTAACAATGCTTACTGTAAACTGCTTCAGTTGAACTTGATTTTCTGTGATGTATTCATCAGGGCCTTGTCTTTACAATACAGGGGTCTTTATTTTTCTTCCTGTTGGTGTGTATTCAGAAATTCAACATGAATTCCAAAGATGATCATACTGCCAAATACTGGCTCAAGCACTGTGTGACTGCCAGTATTTATTGTTCTGAAACCATATGGTTTCATAATTTCTACTACTGGCTGCAGCAAGCTTTCTATTAAAAGGCATTTTTTCTCCAGCTCCAAGGTCTATCACTCCTGCTACATTTCAGTGATTTTTCCAACTGTAATTCAAAATTCTCCTGCCTATTCACTGGTGCTGTACCTCAGTAAAATGTATCTATAGAAGTAGCATCAATAAATGGTTCCTGCCTGAGAGCTAGTCCCCAGATATGTATCTATTTAGCAGGGGAGTCTGTCTCAGAACAGTGTAGGGATTTTTGATCAGTGCAAGTACAGATACCATGGATTTACTTTCACCTCCTAGCAAAGACTGTAATTTTGGAGGATATGTTTTGTCAAATACTGCTAATTTAACAGCAACTTTCCATAAGAAATTACTCACTACATGAATAACCGTGAGATGTCAATCTAAGAGGTACACAATTGTTAACAGTCTGTTCCCTCAAGAAATTCTGAGCTTTGTTGGAGAAACAATACATTCAATATAATTTTTAGTGATATAATGCAATTGCACTTTATGCATTTAGATTATAATATTAAGATATAATTAACAGGAACAATTTAAAATAATAATTCCTCCATAAAAACTGTGTCAATAACAATTTCAAACTTGGAAGGAAGAGTTAATACAAACTGTATTTAAGTTATTGCCACTTTTGCTGGTAAATAAAAATACTTACCATACTTTATTTGTAACCATGCTTATAAAATATGTCCATTTTGTTTTCTTGAGCTATTATTTTAACATTAATGCATTAAATTTCAATAAACCTTTTATTTGCTAAAACTACTTCACTCAAACACTTTTAAAGTGGTCGTGCTGTTGCTAAAAAAATATATCCCTGAAAGTTAGTAACTTTAGAATGGGATTTACATGTGTTCAAAAATACAACTAAGAAAGCCAAACAACTGCCATAATATGCTGTGCTATTAATTTAGGTTACCATACTCTGCAAACATAATAGAAAATGACAAGAAAAAAACTGTAATATCAAATAAAAAATATGCTACAATGATTGTGAATTTATTAGGACTTAGAACATACATCTAGACACCCACTGCCCCACCCACCCCTTCTTCTTCAACACACACAATTTACATTCATTCCTTTTAGAAAACTAGTTTTGAATTACTGAGCTTTCAATTATGTGTGCCCTCCAGAACATATTCCTTCCATAAAATGGAACCACTCTACCCTGTACAAGATACTATGTGATTAAACGTCAAATGGAACAAGATAAGCCAGAGAGAATGAAGCTTCATTCATTCACTATGGCCTTTCAGTTAAGATATATTCAATTCCTAATATGTTTCAGATAATGTGCTGGAAGCTAGAGATGAAAAAATGATTAGAACATAGTTTCTATTTTCAGGGAATTTCATAAAATATAAAAAATGTAAATAACACAAAATAGAGGCATCCAAAGTTGCCTCAAAACAATTTCTTCAATTAGATTCAGAGAATTTTAAACTGTCTAAAAGAAAATTACTGCTCTTGCAGGAATTTTAGAAAATAAGGAATAGTATATGTTTAATCAACAAGGGTTTAGCTATGAAATCTAATAATTATTGAATCATTACATCTATATTTTCCTTAAAAAACTACTGTTCTCACTCTTCCTTTCAATACTAGTGTAGAAACTGTAACATATTATCATTTTTTCTCCCACTGCTGTGATCAAAATAGCACAATACTGCTCAAAACAACTGCAAATGTGTGGCTTTAAAAATTCCTACTTAAAAGTACCCGTATCTAATTGAGATTTAGTTTTAATCAAAAGCCATCTATAAATAATACACCATATTCTCTAACTAAAAAGATCCAATTAATAACCCACTGGAATTATAAAAACTCAGTCTATAGGAAAATGCCTACATTTGTATATGGTAGTACCATAAAGGATGGAATGGTCAAGCTTAAGAGGCAGGGGGCATCAAAGGCTTCTCAGACTATGTGACAAGTGAATTAAATTTTGAAGGATAGGTATATTACGGTCTGAATGTCAATGTCCCCCCAAAATTCCTATGTTGGAACTTAATCCCTAAGGTGAGGGTATTAGGAGGTGGAGCTTACGGAGAGATCATTAGTTCATGAGGGATCTGCCCTCGTGGATAATACTATTGCCCTTATAAAAGGCTTTAAGGGCCAGGCGCGGTGGCTCACGCCTATAATCTCAGCACTTTGGGAGGAAAGCGGGCGGATCTCCTGAGGTCAGGAGTTCAAGACCAGCCTGGCCAACATGCTGAAACCCCATCTCTACTAAAAATACAAAAATTAGCTGAGTGTGGTGGCACACGCCTGTGATCCCAGCTACTCGGGAGGCTGAGGCAGGAGAATCCCTTGAACCTGGGAGGTGGAAGTTACAGTGAGCCGAGACTGTGTCACTGCACTCCAGCCTGGGCAACAAAGCAAGACCTTGTCTCAAAAAAAAAAGGCTTTGAGGGAGCAAGTTTGTCCCTTGGTCCCTTGTCCCTTTTCTTTGCTGTTCCTTCACATGAAGACACATACAGGGCACCATTACATGGAACAGGCTCTCACCAGATAACAAATATGCAGGCTCCTTCATATTGGACTTCCCATCTTCCAAAACTGTGTGCAATAAATTTCTGTTGATTACAAATTACCCAACCTAAGGTATTTTGTTACAGCAGCCCAAGCAAACTAAGACAAGGTAGAAGGTGAGTGGTAGTACTAGGGGAAAGACACCCACTTATTCTTCTGGAAATACTCCAGATAGCCAAATAACCAAAATAAGAAAGAAAGGAAAGAGAAAGAAAAGAAAAGAAAAAAGAAAAGAAGCCAAAACTCAAAGATGGGAAAGATATCACATTTAAAAAATTATTGCTGCCATCATTATAAAATAAAATGCAAATGTCAGTATATACTATTGAAAAGAATTAGCAAAATGTTATTGAAATAAACATAATAGCCAATGGGGTTGGAGGGAAGGGTTTAAATAAAGAAGAGAATCATACTGCATCTCTCATTCTACAAGAAGAGAGTCAATAAATTTTGCTTTATTTTTTTTATTTTTATTTTTTTATTATAAGTTTTAGGGTACATGTGCACATTGTGCAGGTTAGTTACATATGTATACATGTGCCATGCTGGTGCACTGCACCCACTAACTCGTCATCTAGCATTAGGTATATCTCCCAATGCTATCCCTCCCCCCTCCCCCCACCCCACCACAGTCCCCAGAGTGTGATATTCCCCTTCCTGTGTCCATGTGATCTCATTGTTCAGTTCCCACCTATGAGTGAGAATATGCGGTGTTTGGTTTTTTGATCTTGCGATAGTTTACTGAGAATGCTGATTTCCAATTTCATCCATGTCCATACAAAGGACATGAACTCACCCTTTTTTATGGCTGCATAATATTCCATGGTGTATATGTGCCACATTTTCTTAATCCAGTCTATCATTGTTGGACATTTGGCTTGGTTCCAAGTCTTTGCTATTGTGAATAATGCCGCAATAAACATATGTGTGCATGTCTCTTTATAGCAGCATGATTTATAGTCCTTTGGGTATATACCCAGTAATGGGATGGCTGGGTCAAATGGTAATTCTAGTTCTAGATCCCTGAGGAATCACCACACTGACTTCCACAATGGTTGAACTAGTTTACAGTCCCACCAACAGTGTAAAAGTGTTCCTATTTCTCCACATCCTCTCCAGCACATGTTGTTTCCTGACTTTTTAATGATTGCCATTCTAACTGGTGTGAGATGATATCTCATAGTGGTTTTGATTTGCATTTCTCTGATGGCCAGTGATGATGAGCATTTTTTCATGTGTTTTTTGGCTGCATAAATGTCTTCTTTTGAGAAGTGTCTGTTCATGTCCTTCGCCCACTTTTTGATGGGGTTGTTTGTTTTTTTCTTGTAAATTTGTTTGTGTTCACTGTAGATTCTGGATATTAGCCCTTTGTCAGATGAGTAGGTTGCGAAAATTTTCTCCCATTCTGTAGGTTGCCTGTTCACTCTGATGGTAGTTTCTTTTGCTGTGCAGAAGCTCTTTAGTTTAATTAGATCCCATTTGTCAATTTTGTCTTTTGTTGCCATTGCTTTTGGTGTTTTGGACATGAAGTCCTTGCCCATGCCTAAGTCCTGAATGGTAATGCCTAGGTTTTCTTCTAGGGTTTTTATGGTTTTAGGTCTTATGTTTCAGTCTTTAATCCATCTTGAATTGATTTTTGTATAAGGTGTAAGGAAGGGATCCAGTTTCAGCTTCCTACATATGGCTAGCCAGTTTTCCCAGCACCATTTATTAAATAGGGATTCCTTTCCCCATTGCTTGTTTTTCTCAGGTTTGTCAAAGATCAGATAGTTGTAGGTATGCGGCGTTATTTCTGAGGGCTCTGTTCTGTTCCATTGATCTATATCTCTGTTTTGGTACCAGTACCATGCTGTTTTGGTTACTGTAGCCTTGTAGTATAGTTTGAAGTCAGGTAGTGTGATGCCTCCAGCTTTGTTCTTTTGGCTTAGGATTGTCTTGGCAATGCAAGCCCTTTTTTGGTTCCATATGAACTTTAAAGTAGTTTTTTCCAATTCTGTGAAGAAAGTCATTGGTACCTTGATGGGGATGGCATTGAATCTGTAAATTACCTTGGGCAGTATGGCCATTTTCACAATATTGATTCTTCCTACCCATGAGCATGGAATGTTCTTCCATTTGTTTGTATCCTCTTTTATTTCCTTGAGCAGTGGTTTGTAGTTCTCCTTGAAGAGTTGCTTCACATCCCTTTTAAGTTGGATTCCTAGGTATTTTATTCTCTTTGAAGCAATTGTGAATGGGAGTTGACTCATGATTTGGCTCTCTGTCTGTTGTTGGTGTATAAGAATGCTTGTGATTTTTGTACATTGATTTTGTATCCTGAGACTTTGCTGAAGTTGCTTATCAGCTTAAGGAGATTTTGGGCTGAGACGATGGGGTTTTCTAGATATACAATCATGTCATCTGCAAACAGGGACAATTTGACTTCCTCTTTTCCTAATTGAATACCCTTTATTTCCTTCTCCTGTCTAATTGCCCTGGCCAGAACTTCCAACACTATGTTGAATAGGAGTGGTGAGAGAGGGCATCCCTGTCTTGTGCCAGTTTTCAAAGGGAATGCTTCCAGTTTTTGCCCATTCAGTATGATATTGGCTGTGGGTTTGTCATAGATAGCTCTTATTATTTTGAAATACGTCCCATCAATACCTAATTTATTGAGAGTTTTTAGCATGAAGGGTTGTTGAATTTTGTCAAAGGCTTTTTCCGCATCTATTGAGATAATCATGGGGTTTTTGTCTTTGGTTCTGTTTATATGCTGGATTACATTTATTGATTTGCGTATATTGAACCAGCCTTGCATCCCACGGATGAAGCCCACTTGATCATGGTGGATAAGCTTTTTGATGTGCTGCTGGATTCGGTTTGCCAGTATTTTATTGAGGATTTTTGCATCAATGTTCATCAAGGATATTGGTCTAAAATTCTCTTTTTTGGTTGCGTCTCTGCCCGGCTTTGGTATCAGAATGATGCTGGCCTCATAAAATGAGTTAGGGAGGATTCCCTCTTTTTCTATTGATTGGAATAGTTTCAGAAGGAATGGTACCAGTTCCTCCTTGTACCTCTGGTAGAATTCGGCTGTGAATCCATCTGGTCCTGGACTCTTTTTGGTTGGTAAACTATTGATTATTGCCACAATTTCAGCTCCTGTTATTGGTCTATTCAGAGATTCAACTTCTTCCTGGTTTAGTCTTGGGAGAGTGTATGTGTCGAGGAATGTATCCATTTCTTCTAGATTTTCTAGTTTATTTGCATAGAGGTGTTTGTAGTATTCTTTGATGGTAGTTTGTATTTCTGTGGGATCGGTGGTGATATCCCCTTTATCATTTTTTATTGTGTCTATTTGATTCTTCTCTCTTTTTTTCTTTATTAGTCTTGCTAGTGGTCTATCAATTTTGTTGATCCTTTCAAAAAACCAGCTCCTGGATTCACTGATTTTTTGAAGGGCTTTTTGTGTCTCTATTTCCTTCAGTTCTGCTCTGATTTTAGTTGTTTCTTGCCTTCTGCTAGCTTTTGAATGTGTTTGCTCTTGCTTTTCTAGTTCTTTTAATTGTGATGTTAGGGTGTCAATTTTGGATCTTTCCTGCTTTCTCTTGTGGGCATTTAGTGCTATAAATTTCCCTCTACACACTGCTTTGAATGTGTCCCAGAGATTGTGGTATGTTGTGTCTTTGTTCTCGTTAGTTTCAAAGAACATCTTTATTTCTGCCTTCATTTCGTTATGTACCCAGTAGTCATTCAAGAGCAGGTTGTTCAGTTTCCATGTAGTTGAGCGGCTTTGAGTGGGATTCTTAATCCTGAGTTCTAGTTTGATTGCACTGTGGTCTGAGAGATAGTTTGTTATAATGTCTGTTCTTTTACATTTGCTGAGGAGAGCTTTACTTCCAACTATGTGGTCAATTTTGGAATAGGTGTGGTGTGGTGCTGAAAAAAATGTATATTCTGTTGATTTGGGGTGGAGAGTTCTGTAGATGTCTATTAGGTCCGCTTGGTGCAGAGCTGAGTTCAATTCCTGGGTATCCTTGTTGACTTTCTGTCTCGTTGATCTGTCTAATGTTGACAGTGGGGTGTTAAAGTCTCCCATTATTAATGTGTGGGAGTCTAAGTCTCTTTGTAGGTCACTCAGGACTTGCTTTATGAATCTGGGTGCTCCCGTATTGGGTGCATATATATTTAGGATAATTAGCTCTTCTTTTTGAATTGATCCCTTTACCATTATGTAATGGCCTTCTTTGTCTCTTTTGATCTTTGTTGGTTTAAAGTCTGTTTTATCAGAGACTAGGATTGCAACCCCTGCCTTTTTTTGTTTTCCATTTGCTTGGTAGATCTTCCTCCATCCTTTTATTTTGAGCCTATGTGTGTCTCTGCACGTGAGATGGGTTTCCTGAATACAGCACACTGATGGATCTTGACTCTTTATCCAATTTGCCAGTCTGTGTCTTTTAATTGGAGCATTTAGTCCATGTATATTTAAAGTTAATATTGTTATGTGTGAATTTGATCCTGTCATTATGATGTTAGCTGGTGATTTTGCTTGTTAGTTGATGCAGTTTCTTCCTAGTCTCGATGGTCTTTACATTTTGGCATGATTTTGCAGCGGCTGGTACCGGTTGTTCCTTTCCATGTTTAGCACTTCCTTCAGGAGCTCTTTTAGGGCAGGCCTGGTGGTGACAAAATCTCTCAGCATTTGCTTGTCTGTAAAGTATTTTATTTCTCCTTCACTTATGAAGCTTAGTTTGGCTGGATATGAAATTCTGGGTTGAAAATTCTTTTCTTTAAGAATATTGAATATTGGCCCCCACTCTCTTCTGGCTTGTAGGGTTTCTGCCGAGAGATCCGCTGTTAGTCTGATGGGCTTCCCTTTGAGGGTAACCTGACCTTTCTCTCTGGCTGCCCTTAACATTTTTTCCTTCATTTCAACTTTGGTGAATCTGACAATTATGTGTCTTGGAGTTGCTCTTCTCGAGGAGTATCTTTGTGGCGTTCTCTGTATTTCCTGAATCTGAACGTTGGCCTGCCTTGCTAGATTGGGGAAGTTCTCCTGGATAATATCCTGCAGAGTGTTTTCCAACTTGGTTCCATTCTCCCCATCACTTTCAGGTACACCAATCAGACATACATTTGGTCTTTTCACATAGTCCCATATTTCTTGGAGGCTTTGCTCATTTCTTTTTATTCTTTTTTCTCTAAACTTCCCTTCTCGCTTCATTTCATTCATTTCATCTTCCATCGCTGATACCCTTTCTTCCAGTTGATCGCATCGGCTCCTGAGGCTTCTGCATTCTTCACGTAGTTCTCGAGCCTTGGTTTTCAGCTCCATCAGCTCCTTTAAGCACTTCTCTGTATTGGTTATTCTAGTTATACATTCTTCTAAATTTTTTTCAAAGTTTTCAACTTCTTTGCCTTTGGTTTGAATGTCCTCCCGTAGCTCAGAGTAATTTGATCGTCTGAAGCCTTCTCTCAGCTCGTCAAAGTCATTCTCCATCCAGCTTTGTTCCGTTGCTGGTGAGGAACTGCGTTCCTTTGGAGGAGGAGAGACGCTCTGCGTTTTAGAGTTTCCAGTTTTTCTGTTCTGTTTTTTCCCCATCTTTGTGGTTTTATCTACTTTTGGTCTTTGATGATGGTGATGTACAGATGGGTTTTCGGTGTGGATGTCCTTTCTGTTTGTTAGTTTTCCTTCTAACAGACAGGACCCTCAGCTGCAGGTCTGTTGGAATGCCCTGCTGTGTGAGGTGTCAGTGTGCCCCTGCTGGGGGGTGCCTCCCAGTTAGGCTGCTCGGGGGTCAGGGGTCAGGGACCCATTTGAGGAGGCAGTCTGCCGGTTCTCAGATCTCCAGCTGCGTGCTGGGAGAACCACTGCTCTCTTCAAAGCTGTCAGACAGGGACATTTAAGTCTGCAGAGGATACTGCTGTCTTTTTGTTTGTCTGTGCCCTGCCCCCAGAGGTGGAGCCTACAGAGGCAGGCAGGCCTCCTTGAGCTGTGGTGGGCTCCACCCAGTTCGAGCTTCCGGGCCGCTTTGTTTACCTAAGCAAGCCTGGGCAATGGCGGGCGCCCCTCCCCCAGCCTCGCTGCCACCTTGCAGTTTGATCTCAGACTGCTGTGCTAGCAATCAGCCAGATTCCGTGGGCGTAGGACCCTCCGAGCCAGGTGTGGGATATAGTCTCGTGGTGCGCCGTTTTTTAAGCCGGTCTGAAAAGCGCAATATTTGGGTGTGAGTGACCCGATTTTCCAGGTGCATCCGTCACCCCTTTCTTTGACTCGGAAAGGGAACTCCCTGACCCCTTGCGCTTCCCAGGTGAGGCAATGCCTCGCCCTGCTTCGGCTCGCGCACGGTGCGCGCACCCACTGGCCTGCGCCCACTGTCTGGCACTCCCTAGTGAGATGCACCCAGTACCTCAGATGGAAATGCAGAAATCACCCGTCTTCTGCGTCGCTCACGCTGGGAGCTGTAGACCGGAGCTGTTCCTATTCGGCCATCTTGGCTCCTCCCCCGCTTTATTTTTAATGTAAGTAGAGAAATAAAAGTTTACTCATTTCTTTGTCTGGCTTATTTATTTATTAGAGAGAATACCAGCCTAAAATGAAACTAGGTTATATACCTTCTAAGTTACTCTATGAAAAATGTTTAAATACAGAAAATCTAAGAAAAGCAACATGTAAGGGATGGGTGGAAAAAATAAGAAAAGCCCCAAAATAAAAGTATAAATAAAGTAATATAAATACATTTAAGTATATCAGTTGAAGGGCAAAGCTTATAAAGTTAAATCAACCAAATGCTGTATATAAAAGAAGCACTTAAAATAACACAGATAGGTTAAAAATCAAGTGACAAATATGCCAAGAAAATAAAAATCTAAAAAAACCATTGTTTACAAATATCAACAGGCAAAATTTCAAGGCAAGAGGCATTAAATGGGGCAAACTGATACAAATTATAATGAGGCTTTAAGAGAATAAACTTTTATAGAATAAATAATTAGCAGTGAAGTTTTCTGTCTTTAAAAAAATAAACTATAAAAAAAGATACATATACAGTCATCCCTTCGTGGAGATGGAAGATTGCTTCCAGGAACCCTGTCTATACCAAAATCCATACATCAAGTCCCAAAGCAGGCCCTTCCGAACCCACATATATGAAAAGTGCGCCCTCCATATGTATGTAGGCTTTGTACACTGTGAATGCTGTATTTTCCATGTGTTTGGCTGAAAAAACATATTGTATAGGTGGACCCATGCCGTTCAATCCATGCTGTTCCAGCCTCAACTGTACAGGTATAATCTCAGACATATTGCTAGTCTGGTTCCAGATCACTAAAATAAAGTGAATATTGCAATAAAGTAAGTCACAAAAACTTTTTGGCTTCCCAGTGCATATAAAAGTTACGTTTATACTATAGTCTATTAAGTGTGCAATAGCATTATGTCTAAGAACAACATATATACCTTAATTAAAAAATGCTAACAATCATCTGAGCCTTCAGTAAGTGATAATCTTTTTGGTGTTGGTGGGTCTACCTTGATGCTGATGACTACTGATTAATTAGGGTGGTGGTTGCTGAAGGTTGGGTAATTCCTTAAAATACTTGTTGCCATTTCCTAAACAAGACAACAACAAAGTTTGCTGCATCAATTGAATCCTCCTTTCATTAAAAATTTCTCTGTAGCGTGCAATGCTGTTTGACATTTTACTGACAGTAGAGCTTCTTTCTAAATTGAAATAAATCCTCTCAAACCCTGCCACTACTTTATCAAAGTTGATGTGATATTCTAAATCCTTTGTTGTCATTTCAACAACGTTCACAGCATCTTCACCAGAAGTAGGTTCCATGTCAAGAAGCTACTTTCTTTGTTCATCCAGAGAAGCAACTCCTCATCCATTCAAGTTTTATCATGCGATTGCAGCAATTCAGTTACATCTTTAGGCTCCACTTCCAATGCTGATCCTCTTGCTATTTTTCCACAACTGCAGTTACTTCCTCCACTGAAGTCTTAAACCCCTCAAAGTCAGCCATGAGGATCAGAATCAGCCTCTTCTGTCTTCCAAACTCCTGTTGATGTTGATATTTTGACCTCCTCCCATGAATCACAAAATTCTTAATGGCATCTAGAACAGTGAGTCCTTTCCAAGAGGTTTTCAATTGACTTGGCCTAGATCATCAGAGGAATCACTACCTATGACAGCTACACCTTATAAAATGTATTTCTTAAATAATAAGACTCAAAAGCCAAAATTACTCCTTGAACTATGTGCTGCAGAAACAACACTAATCTCTTTGTACATCTCCATCACAGCTCTTGGGCAACCAGGTACGCTGTCAATGAGCAGTGGTGTTGTTTTTTCAGGGAGTGTACTAAAAAGGAATGAGTAGTAGTATTTTGGAAAGCATCTTTTTTCTGTACGGCAGGTCTCAACAATGGTCTTAAAATATTCAGTAAACCACGCGATAAAAAGATGTGCTAACAAGAGAGTTAACTTGTCGTTTGAAGCTTAGAGGCTCTGAAGCCAGGTGTTGACTTTGTCCCTCTAGCTGTGAAATTCCTAGATGGCATCTTCTTCCAATAGAAGGCTGTATTGTCTACATGGAAAATCAGTGTTTAATGTAGCCAGCTTCATCAATGATCTTGGTGAGATCTTCTGGATAACCTGCTGTGGCTTCTATATTAGCATTTACTACTTTACTTTGCACTTTCATGTTATGGACATGGGTTCTTTCCTTAAACCTTATGAACCAACCTCTGCTAGCTTCAAACTTTTCTTCTGCAGCTTCCTCGCCTTTCTCAGCTTTCACAGAATTGGACAGAGTTAGGGCCTTGATCTGGATTAGGCTTTGGCTTAAGGGAATGCTATGGCTGGTTTGATATTCTATCCAGACCATTAAAGCTTTCTCTGTATCAGCAATAAGGCTTTATGCATTTTTTAAATCTTTTCTGTGTTCACTGGGGTAGAACTTTTAATTTCCTTCTAGAATTTTTTTCTTTGCATTCACAACTTGTTTAACTGTTTGGCACAAGAGGCCTCTGCATTCGGCCTATCTTTGGTTTAGACATGCCTTCCCCACAAAACTTAATCATTTCTAGCTTTTTATTTAAAGGAAAATACATGCAACTCTTCCTTTCACTTAAACACCCATAGGCATTGCAGGGTTATTAACTGGCCTAATGTCAACATTGTTATGTCCCAGGGAACGAGGAGGCCCAAGGAGAGGAACAGAGCCAGGGAACAGCTAGTTGGTGGATCAGTCAGAACACACTTGATTAAGTTTGCTGTCTTAAATGGGTGCAATTCATGGCACCTCAAAATAATTACAATAGTAACATCAAAGATCATTGGTCATAGATCACTATAACAGATATAATAATAATGAAAAAGTGTGAAATATTGCAAAAGTTACCAAAATGACACAGAGACACAGAGAAACGAAGTGAGCACACGCTGTTGGTAAGACTGATAGACTAAACAGACTAAGCTGATAGACTTGCTCAATGTAGGGTTGCCAAAAATCTTCAATTTGTAAAAAAAAAAAAAAAAAAAGAAAAAAGAAAAAAAAATCTGTGAAGTGCAATAAAGCAAAGTTCAGTAAAACAAACTATGCCTGTAATGAGAAGTTGAGTCTAATGATGAATGCGACAAATAGAATATACATGTAAAAACATATTTCTAGAAAATGTATAAATCACATATCTAGACTACAAATAAAAAACCTCAATAATATTTTTAAAACATTTGAAATTCAAGAGACTTTTGAATTTTATTTGAATGAATAAGCAAACAAACTAGAAATAAATAAACAAAGCACATGGTAAAACACACTCTCCAAAACATGGTTGGGCCAAATAATAAATCAAAATTGCAATCACAAATTAGAAAATAATAAAATTTACACATGAAAAAACATCTAATTTTGCACACAAGTCTGAGCAGTTCCTTATGATAGATTTCTTGTTGTGGAATGGAAGTGAAGGTCTTCAGAGTCAAGGAAGTCACATAACTTTTTAGCTGAGTAGTTAAATGAGTGATCCATGGAGTAAATGGAAATCCCCCACATGATAGCAAGAGTTGAGGCAGAACCAAAAGATGAGTAACAAAGTGCCCAAATGAATTTGAAAAAATCACCAGGAGGTAAACAGATGATAGAAGTGAAGGGACATCAATTCAGAAATTGAGAGCAATTAATTTAACTAAAAGGAATATGTAAATTGTGCTTAATTTTCACAGCAATAATAGAAGTATGACATCAATTGCTTAAGTGTGATAGCCAAATTGTCAATAAATATTTATTGACCAATTAATAAAAAGAAGTTCTAACCACTTAACATCTTAGTAGCTTGATCAACTCAGCTTGAAGGAATACCTGCATGGAAGCTTCAATACCAGGATACATAAGATATATAAATTCAAAACACAGAATGTCCACATAATTCAAGTAAATAAATGAATATGAAATAGAAGCAGCTGGCCAATCCATCTCCTTATTGTGTCCTATTATCCTTTACAGGCAGATCTTTACTTACAGAGGTTTCATTCACACATTGACAAAATAAGTATGACCAGATTTAGGTTGCTTTGTATTATAATTCAAGAATGTTTTTTGTTATTTTGACCATCCTTGTACTTGATCTCAAACTGCTAAAATCTATTATAAACAGCATGGAAAGTTGTCAGAGAACTAAATGGTATATTTTATTGTAGAAAGGCTTAAAGAAAAAAAAAGAAACCCAATAAGTAGAATTGTTTTTTCCTGGGAAATGAGAATGAGTTTTTGAACTCTGCAACAAAAGATAAACTTTTAGTTTAATGCTAATAAAACCAACCTGTAATTTTAGCTGCCTTTTCTTCTTGGTTCACTCTGTTCTCATCATCATCTTCATTATCTTCTTCGAAGTCATCTAAATTGCCAATGTCAGCCTGCTTCATACTCATCAAACTAGCCAAACTTTGCATGTCTTCATCTCTACATCAATGATTCAAAATATAACACATTGTACTAAATGACAGTTAGAAAAATGATGGTTTCTTAAGAAAACAATAAATTCCTTCTTTCTATAAGGTATGTCAATAAGTCTTTCTTATCAGTTGCACAAGAATATTGAAAAATCTAAATACTCATATTCATTAATTTTTAAATGGCATGCTTAATTAGTAAAGAGCTAATAAGATTAAAAATTAACTGGTTAGATCAAAGACTTAAATCTAAACCTGAAGCCATAAAAATTCTAGAAGATAACACTGGAAAAAATCTTCTAGACATTGGCTTCGGCAAAGAGTTCACGACCAAGAACCCCAAAGCAAATGCAACAAAAACAAATAGATGGGACCTTATTAAACTAAAAAGCTTCTGCACAGCAAAAGAAATCATCAGCAGAGTAAACAGACAACTCACAGAGTGGGAGAAAATATTCACAAACTATGCATCCAACAAAGGACTAATACCCAAAATCTACAAGGAAGTCAAACAAATGAACAAGTAAAAAATGAAATAGTCCCATCAAAAAGTGGGCTAAAGACATGAATAGACAATTCTTAAAAGAAGATATATGTGCCGGGCATGGTGGCTCATGCCTGTAATCCCAGCACTTTGGGAGGCCGAGGCAGGTGATCACAAGGTCAGGAGTTCGAGACCAGCCTAACCAACATGGTGAAACCCCATCTCTACTAAAAACACAAAAATTAGCCGGGCGTGGTGGCATGCGCCTGTAATCCAAGCTATATATATTATATATATAGTAGTATTCCATATTGTGTGTATGTGTGTGTGTGTATATGTGTATATATATGTGTGTGTGTGTGTGTGTGTGTGTGTGTGTGTGTGTGTGTGTCTATATATATATATATATATGCACCACATATTTTTAATCCACTCATTGGTCAATGAGCTTTTAGGCTGGTTCCGTATTTTTGCAATTGCAAATTGTGCCACTATAAACATTGCATGTGCAAGTGTCTTTTTCCTGTAATAACTTATTTTTTTCTGGGTAGATACCCTGCAGTGGGATTCCTGGATCAGACGGTAGTTCTACTTTTTAACTCTTTAAGGAATCTCCATACTGTTTTTCATAGTGGTTGTACCAGTTTACATTCTCACCAGCAGTGTAAAACTGTTCTCTTTTCATCACATCCATGTCAATATCTATTTTTTTTATTCTTAAATTATGGCCACTATTGCAGGAGTAATAGTGTATATGTATAATATATATAATAGTATATATGTATAATATACATAATATAAATATATAAATAATTATAAATATTACGTATTTATATATTATTATATATTATATATTATATATACACAATACCACTATATATAATATATAGTAGTATATATAGTAGTATTATGTATTATATATAGTAGTATTATATATAATATATATATACACACACACACACACACACACACAACATAGAACACCACTCAGCCTTAAAAAGGAACAAAATAATGGCATTTGCAGCAACCTGGATGGAGTTGGAGACCATTATTCTAAGTGAAGTAACTCAGGAATGAAAAACCAAACATCGTATGTTCTCACGTGTAAGTGGGAGCTAAGCTATGGGGATGCAAAGGCCTAAGAGTAATATAATGGACTTTGGAGACTTACGTGGAAGAGTGGGAGGGGTGTGAGGGATAAAAGACTACACATTGAGTACCGTGTACACTGCTCAAGAGATGGGTGCACCAATATCTCAGAAATCATCACTAAAGAACTTTCCTATGCAACCAAACACCACCTGTTT
This sequence comes from Homo sapiens, assembly GCF_000001405.40. Classification (NCBI taxonomy): domain Eukaryota; kingdom Metazoa; phylum Chordata; class Mammalia; order Primates; family Hominidae; genus Homo; species Homo sapiens. The sequence goes on along the minus strand of NC_000002.12, from coordinate 62,829,237 downwards.
CACTTATTTATTGAAATAACATAATTTAAAAAATTTAACTGGTTAGGAATTAGTTCGATTCTGTGCTGTAGATATATATGGAAGACTAAAATATTCTTTTCTTTTTTTTTTTTCTTTTTTTTAAGACAGGGTCTCACTCTATAAGCCAGGCTGGCTGGAGTACAGCAGTGTGAACATGGCTCACTGCATCTTCCTGGGCTCAAGCAATCATCCCGCCTTAGCCTCCTCAGTAGCTGGGACCCCAGGTGTAGAGCACAATGCCCAGCTAATTTTTAAAATTTCTGTAGAGAGGGGGGTCTTGCCATGTTGTTCAGGCTGGTCTCAAGTGATTGTCCCACCTCAGGCTCCCAAAGTGTTGGGATTACAGGTGTGAACCACTGTGCCTGGCCTAAAACTTTCTTCATGGAATTAAAGTATGGTTTCCTGAGAATTAAGTCTGGAAACAAAAACTTGTTTCAAAAACAGTGAGACAGTTTGCAAATCAGATAAGATCTAGAGTTTAAATATTCAAACTGCCCAAAGGAATTAGAACAAGATTTTAAATCTGAAGTCCACGTAGGCTTTTGAGTTTGTGGGTAAGAGGGAAACAAAGTGGCAAACCCCTGTAAATCACACTTAAATCTTGCTTAAGTATATTGTTTTTCCAACAGGGCCATAACCGCCCAAAAGTTAAGAAACTATTATAGCAGGAAAAGCACTTTAAAAACAAAGTCTAACCTTTTTAAGAGCTACAAGATAAAAAAAACTACCTTGGATGATTGTATGTTAAATACCATGTATTTGATAAATCTGAACTTTTTTTAAATGTTTTAAGTATTTTAAGTACAAATTTATAAAGTTTACATTAAGTACTCAAAGTCAAATCATTTATATTTTCATCATGTATTATTTTCACCTTAAATTTCAAATAAACTACAGTGAATGAAATATGTATCTATTATTTACAAATTAATTTTTACTTTGCTATACTTCCCCCAAATTCAGAAAGCCAAATTAAGATACTGTTTCTTTGTAAAGTAATGCTTAATACGCCGTTATCTTCTAAATATAGTATGGCTTTACAGACTAAACTGGTTTTAAAAAATTCTTTGCATCTTATCTCATATAAGCCTTAGAGTTAACAAAGTCATTTCCCCTTTTTAAAATAAATTTAGTGACACAAAGTTTGCATGAGCAAAAAAGTTATTACCTTACGTGAATGTCTTACAAATTGCTCTCTTATCAACAGGAGACAATTTCAAAATGTCATTCTTAAAATATTAACTTGCTGGCTGGGCGCGGTGGCTCACACCTGTAATCCCAGCACTTTGGGAGGCCGAGGTGGGCGGATCACTTGAGGTCAATAGTTGAAGACCAGCCTGGCCAACATGGTGAAACACCGTCTCTACCAAAAATATACAAAATTAGCCAGGTGTGGTGGTACACACCTGTAATCCCAGCTACTCGGGAGGCTGAGGCAGGAAAATCACTTGAACCCAGGAGGTGGAGGTTGCAGTGAGCCGAGATCGTGCCACTGCACTCCAGCCTGGGTGACAGAGCGAGACTCTGTCTCAAAAAAAAAAAAAAGTTAACTTGCTTAATTGCATACCATTTTAATTTCCTCACATTTTAAACCTGAACATTTTTCTTTGGGGAAGGTAACCAGGCAAAGAAGGAGGAGGTAGAGAGGCAGTTTAGGATGTTCGGAAAGAATTCCTTTTCAATTCAAATTGAGACATTTGGTTTGGCTGAATTTCCTCTCACCCAGATTCCCGTGAATGGTGCTGATTCACTTACAGCTTTTGCCCAGTGGAAGGAAGTCCACCCTCAAAGGATCTTCTCTGAATTTGTGTCTCTTCTTCCTGTGTTTCCTTTCCTTTTGTTTTGGCTTAAACTTCAGGGTAAGATCTTTATTTTTAATTACTCAGTATTTAAGTCTATAATTTAAGGTCCTGAGATGAAAGACTAAGATGCTTCCATTCTGCACTGTCTCTCTACCACACTGGCTTAGAATCCAACTTGCCAGAGAGGAGGCTTACTGTTATCTCACAAGTCATGTGTTGCCATGTAGATGAGTGTCAAACATCTCATTTTGACTGACGCACAGAATCCAGTCTAATCAGTCAAGTAGACATGGCCAATTATAGTAACCACCTTCCACTAGGTCAAATACATTCAGAACTGTGATTCAGATTAGATAAAATGTTCACAGCTGTCTCTTTCCCCTCACCTTTTAAGTCTAGGTATAGAATTTCCATTTCTCCTGTCTCTTCATCTTCCACTCCATGTAGGTACGAACCCTTTCACAACACCCGTAACATTCACTTACCCCTGACTTGATTGTATGCAATAACCAGGGTGAATCTTACTTTTTTCCCCGCTTTGTAGGTATGTTCACCTCATTTTGTCAAGTTAGAATTTTACTCTTATAAGAGACTAGAATGGAATCTAGAAATCTTTGTGCAATGCTGACTCAGTGCTTAAGAAGTGATTTTTGAAAAGAAAATGATTACAATAAACTGCTTATCTAACTGTACCTTCCTACATGATTTTTGGAAGGTTGAGCCAAGGAATATGATTTGGCAAGAGTTCCCTTAATTATTTCATCCCTTTTATCCTAAACTTTTCGTTTTGGGTTCCTCTCATGTCTCAATTGCATCAAACAGTTCTACACATTGAACTGTGTGTACCTCAGAGTACAGACTACTACACTGAAGACACTGAAATATAAAACACTTATAATATCCTAAAATATACAATTTAAATTTTGAAACCAGCTGTGCTCACGTTTATATTACTGTACATTCTCTGGAGTCAAAAGAGACTATTTATAAGTAACAAGGAGTTCCCTTAATTCAGCCTCTGAAACAAAGAATGGCAAAAATGATTGGTATGCTGTAAGATGTTCAACTATTGCCAGTCTACTGAGTCAAAAGCTATGGTGTACTGAAACACAATGTAAGGAAGCTTATTTGACAAAAGAAACTTACGTGGCTTTTCCTTCCCTCAGAAAAATGCAAGATAATGAAAACTGAAGAGCGGCAGATACAACTTTTTTAGATAATGGCTTGAATTTTAACTTGACATCAGTCTGAGTTGGCATAGGGCTTGCATACTGTTTCATATTGATGCTGCTAGTAGCAAGAGCTTTCCTTCGACCAGAAGGGGATTCCTGGAAGATTAAAGAAAAAAAAAGTATGTAATTTTGAGTTATTTTATAGCCAAACATTTTAAAGTACGATTTTAATAATAAATCAAATAATAATTGAAAACTTCCTTCTCCTATTACATTCCTATCACACAATAACTAAATAAAATTACAATGAAGTTGTATCACAGTTGTTACATTTATAAGTAAGGCAGATATGCAATTGGAAAGCGGTAACCCAGGCAGAAACAAGAGAAGATTAGAACAACCCTAAACACCAGAAAAGGAGAAGCAAGGAATGAAAACTAGGACAGAAAGTCTCCAGGGTTACTATGAGAAGAGGATCCAATACAGGGCTAGGCATCAACAAATACTCAACAGTTATTTGCTTTGCTTTGATAATATTTAATGTAACCTAATGATATTTCTCCTTTTTAAACGCCTACGATTATTTATAGAACTTCCAGCCTTGGTGGCATTCTACCTCTTTTTTTTTTTTCTGTCTACAACATCTGAATTCTATGTATCCTGTAATTTGAGTCTTATTTCTTCCCCAGGCCTTTTTTTTATTGTTCAGTCCATAGTTGTCTCTCCCATAAAAGCACATATATCATAAAAGAAACAGTTGGCTTTCTGATCCTATGCCCAGACACCACTAACTGACTCCAGCAGATCTCAGAATTCTTCTCAACATTGCTATTGCCAATTCATCAGAAATAGAACACAAAATGAAACCTATTTGCTATCAAAAGTACTTAACATTCCATTACTAAAGTTATTATGTTTCTTAACTATACTTTACAGAATAGCCTAGGAGAACAATGAAAACAGGAGAGCAAAATAATGGTTGTGCATTAACTTTGTACAAGACATCGTGTAAATTCTGGGGAGATATGATGAATAAGACATAATCTCTGCAGGTTCTATGGCAAAGGGAAAATTTCAGATGTAGGATAATGTGTAAATAACATAAATCAGAAATCATGTACCATTATTTCTTGTAGTTTACTGATATGGGAGTTAAGACCAAAATTTAAACCTTAATTTTCAAGCTGTGTGACCTTGAGCAAGTCAGAAAACTTGAGTCTCAGTAACCTTCTCCATAAAATTAGGAGGCTAAACAGAAATCCATTCAAGTTCTATAATTATTTTCCATAAAATTATTCAATTTTCAAACCAAGACAAGAAAAACTACCATTAATACCTTTGAACTATTATTTAATAAATCTTTATTTCTCCTATGTTTGAAAAATTTGCCTAAAATAAGGACATACTAATTTAATCAAAATATTAAAACAGCCTTTAAAAAAAACCCTGATATTTCTACCCAGCGAAACAAGTAAAAATGTAATGTAGCATCCCTAAAGAATACCTTGTTTTAAAATGTGGCCTTATCTGTCAGATTATGCACAGCAATAATATACAGAACTATTAGTGCATGTAGATACCTTATGAATGAATTTCAAAAATGCATCAAGCACTTGAGAAGGATTTAAGCCCTCTCAGAAGAAATACTTAAGAATATGCAAATATCCTCAACTGAATCAAGTTGAACAGATGTGACTATACCAAACAATACAAGTGTTCTTTCCCTGGTTGCTACTGTCAATCAAAGAATAAGATTAAGGTTCAAGGTTCTGACAATGAGCAAAATGAAAAAGTATGATCAGAGAGTATCAATTTATTACACTGATATGAACAATAATCTCTCATTGTACCTTTAGAATAGCTAACAATTTCTACATATAATATAGGATTTAAAGCCTCTGTTTTGAAAGCTTGACATATAAACTGTCACATATTTTCAGTTTTTGTTAAACAAATCTGTTTCACAAAGTATGACATTGATCCCTTAATATAATTATTTAATTTTATAACTGAATAAGCTATAAAAATTAAGATAACTTAGAAATGAGCATAATTTTGAAAACTTAGTTTAAGAATGCTTCTGCAAAAGTCTAGATTTTTTATCATATTCTGCCAATTTCATTTTTTAGAATAAAAAGTATGTAGAAAAATTTTTCTGCTGAACTCAGGTTCATGGCAAACAAAAATGTGTTTTTTAAGCATCTGGTAAATCAGTGTCTTTGAAACAATAGGTAATAAAAGCTACCAAATTCTAAATACAATTAGCTGTACTACTTAAGCAATTATTTGCTTAGGAACAATGCAAAGAGCCCTTTCTGAGGTCTGGGCAGATGAGTAGACTAGAGCTCTTTTTAGTCTATGATATCCATTCCCAATACTAATTAACACAGGACCTCACTAGAGTCTGTGTCCTTAATATACTATGTCCTTGATATAATGTCTCCCTTTTGGGAAAAGGAATTTGAATGGTGTTCCTAGTAATTCTCCAGCTACCTCAGACATTGTTCTCTCCTTAAAATTAGCTATCTCAGAAAATACATTTTAAGAAGAATAGTAATGAGGGAAAATATGGGGATCTTTCACAGCTCTAACCCCACTCCATGAATTTTTGTTCTTTATAACCACCAAGTCTAAATCTGTACCCACCCAAGATGGACATCATTGCTATAATCGGTTCTATAAGAGGAATGAAATAACTGCACTCAAACAAGCATGTCTTTTGGATCCTACAGTCCTTCTTAAAGGGACTAGGGATCAGCCAGGGAGAGAGAGAGAGTTTAGAGAGAATTACTATTATTGCTGCCAGGGTCCTAATGCTACTTCAGATCACATGTGGGTTGGACAAAAGAACAAGAATGAGAGAAAAAAGAGTAAGAGGAGCTAGTAGAAAATGAAAGTTTGGAGATAAGAGTCAATACAAAAGTGAGTGCTGAATGTCTGTCTGAATAACTGTCTCTGGGCCTATGTTTAAACATCAGTTCGTATGTGCATCTGGCAGTATTTTCGAAATTAGTTCAAAATCCCTAAAGCAAAGGTTCTTAAACTTCAATGTTTATTAAAAACCAAAAACAAAACTAAGAAACATTATTAAAAATGTTAATGCCTGAATCCCACCCCTAGAGATCCTAAATTAGTAGACCTAAAGATGGACCTAGGAATCTGATTACTGAAAAGTAATATCCCCCCTCCACACATACACACCACTACTACCAGGCAATTCTGATTCAGTTAATCTAAAATCACATTTTCAGAAACACTTCCCCTAAGTTCTTACACAAAATTATTTAAATTTAAAAATGTCACTTATTTTTCATAACTATTCTCATTGTTATAAAAAGACTTAGCCTATATATTTCCATTTCTTTGAAATACAGTCTATTGCGGTTGGAATCAGACAAACCTGGATTCGACTGTAGCACCAGCACTTATTCATTGGTTAATCTTTGGCAGATTTCTTCATGTATCTAAGCCTCAGTTTCACACTTTCAGATTGGCAAATATTTTGTAAAGTTGAACATTACCAAGTGTTGATAAGAATGTGAAACAATGCAAACTCTCTTATACTGCTGGAGAGTTTCAACTGATACAGCCACTTTGAAAAACAATCTGACATTACCTCGTAAAGTTGAATACATGCAAATCTTAACAACTCAACAATTCTCATCCTATAAATATGTCCTAGAGAAATTCTTGCAATAACACATGAAAATAATTAGAGTATTTAGCATATAGTCAGCACTCAATAAACAGTGTTTACTAATTTTTATGGACCATTTAACCTGGTTCATTACACTAATAAATAGTCCATCCAGGGTCACCAATCTTGAAAGGAGAAAAAATAGATAACTGCACAATTCAATGCAGAATGTTTACTTTAAAATAGTGTAGTTACATAATTAAAATTTATGCATGGACCCCCACTAGGTTCAAGCCAAACCTAAAATGAGTTCTCCACCTCTATGGACTCTCATTGCTATTCAAGTAGTAACAATGCAAGCAACAGGTGAATAAATGTTTTCTCTGTACATGAGCATAAAGGGGGAAAGATCTTACAATTTTTCTAATAAGAAATGAACTGATTATAAAAATGAATAAACATATTCTGAGACTCAGGACTTCTTTATAAATATTTTTAAACATCGTTAAAAAAAAACTTTTGGTTAGAATGAATGAATAAGACCTAGTATTTGATAACATAACAGGGTGACTATAGTCAGTAATAATTTAACTTTACATTTAAAAATAACGGAAAGAATTGGATTGTTTGTAACACAAAGGATAAATGCTTGAGGGGAAAGACACCACATTTTCCATGATGTGATTATTATGCATTGCATTCCTATATCAAAACATCTCATGTACCCCAGAAACATATACACCTATGTATCCACAAAAATAAAAAATAAAAAATTATACTTAAAAAAAGCATTTAGATAATTTCACCACTTTTTCCTCCCTAAAACTAAGAACACGGTATAAAACATAATGGTAGCAAGCAATGTAGTTCAATGGCATAACTGTTAGTTCATATTCTTTTGATGTTGTTGCTGTTGTTGCTTTTTTGAGCCACGGTCTCACTCTGTCACCCAGGATAGAGTGCAGTGGTGCAAAAACAGCTCACTGCAGCCTCAACCTACAGGGCTCAAGCGATCCTCCTACCTCAGCTTCCCAAGTAGCTGGGACTACACCACCCACATCTAGTTCACTTTTTATTTTTTGTTGAATGGGATCTCACTATGTTGCTCAGGCTAGTCTTGAACTCCTGGGTTCAAGCGATCCTCCTACCTCAACCTCCCAAAGTGCTAGGATTACAGGCGTGAGCTACCACACCAGGCTTTAATTCATATTCTAAGAAGATGGAGAGGACATTTCTTGTCCAAATTATTCAAGTTAGTTTCCTTACAGAATAATAGTTCATTGTATGCTTTTTCATCTATTATGAACCCCACAATAAGTAAAATTAATGTAATGCCTCTCCTATTAAAATATTTGGCTGACTTTATTACAATATTTTATTAAATAAACCACATGATAGAAATGTAATCCTTTCTCCCATGCAAGAGGACTAGAGGTAAAGGTGCAGAAACTTACTTAGATTTTTATAATTTTTCAGGGCTTTATTACATAGACTGTTCTATAAGATTCTGTCATATACAAATACTTTATCAGGTCTCTTACAAGACACTAAAAATTAAACTAATGGCATTAATATTTGAATTTTAAAATTATGAAATATACATAATAAAGCATAAAACTTAAGAATAATAAAATGAATATCCTATACTCACCACCCAGCTTGAGAAACAGAACATTGCCAGTACCTTACAAGCTGCATGTCCCCTCCCAAATTGTATCCTTTCCATTCCTTCCTCCAGAAGGAAACAGTATTCTAAATTTTTTATTACTCTTTCCCTTCACTTTTTGAAAATATCCTGCTGATGAATGGATCAACTAGATGTGCATATATATATATATATATATATATATATATATATATATATATATTATACACACACACACACACACACACACCCAATGGAATACTATTCAGCCTTAAAAAGGACATTTTGACGTATGCAACAATATAGATGAACCTTGATGACATTATGGTAAGTGGAAAAAAACAAACACAAAAGGACAAATATTATATGATTCTACTTATATGAGGAATAGGCAAATAGAAAGCAGAATAGCGGTTACCAGGTGCTGGGGAAAGGGTTGAATGGGGAGTTTTTAATGGGTACAGATAGTTTCTACTTGGGATGATGAAAAAGTTCTGGAAATGGACAGTAGTGATGGTTATACAATATTGTGAATGTACTCAATGGCACTGAATTGTACACTTAAAGATGTCTGAAATGATAAATTTTGTTATATATAGTTACCACAACTAAAAAGTGAAAAAAGATTTATATTGTACAGTATTGTGAGTCTTTTTACTTTTATATAAGGAAATAAAATTACCATTTTAAAAATTTGTTTCTTATCTTCAACATCATGTTCTTTTTTTTTTTTTTCTTTTTTTTTTTTGAGACAAGAGTTTCACTCTTGTTGCCCAGGCTAGAGCGCATTGGCACGATCTCATTTCACTGCAACATCTGCCTCCTGGGCTCAAGTGATTCCCCTGCCTCAGCCTCCAGAGCAGCTGGGATTACAGGCACCTGCCACCATGCCTGGCTAATTTTTGTATTTTTAGTAGAGATGGGATTTCACCATGTTGGCCAGGCTGGTCTCAAACTCCTGACCTCAGGTGATCTGCCCGCTTCGGCCTCCCAAAGTGCTGGGATTATAGGCATGAGCCACCACGCCCAGCCTCAACATCATGTTCTTAATATTCATCTATGCTGACATGTACATCTGTGGTTCATTAAATTTCATCGCTCCTAATATTCAATTACATGAATTTCTACGATTTATCTATCCATTTTATTGTTGATGGACATATGGGTTGTCGCGGGTTTTTTTTTTTTTGTTTTTTTGAGCTGGAGTCTCGCTCTGTCACCCAGGCTGGAGTGCAATGGCACAATCTCAGCTCACTGCAACCTCCACCTCCTGGGTTCAAGCAATTCTCCTTCCTCAGTCTCCCAAGTAGCTGGGATTACAGGTGTGCACCACCATGCCTAGTTAATTTTTGTATTTTTAGTAAAGACGGGGTTTCACCATGTTGGCCAGGCTGGTCTCAAACTCCCACACCCCCAACCTCAGGTGATCTGCTTGCCTCAGCCTCTCAGTGTTGGGATTACAGGCATGAGCCACTGTGCCCGGCTGCAGGTTTGGAATTATTAACAAAGCTGTTACAAATATTTTTACACCTATATCCTGGTACACATGCACAATAATTTATCTGGGAAATATTTCTAGGATGGGAATAGCCAGGTCATAGGATATGTACATGTACACCTTTATCGGAAAATACCAAATTGTATTCCAAAAAGGCTGTATTAGTTTGTACTTTCTAAGAGTTTCCCATTCTCCCACATTCTTTAGATTTTTTGTTAAACTTTAATCTCTTATGAGGTAAATTAATAGATTTTTCCAAAATTAAAGCAACTCCACATTCCTTGGAGATAGCCAACCAGGTCGTGATGTACTTCTTTATATTAAAATATATTTCTGGCTTTGGAGGTCTAATGTTTTGCATGGGATTTCTGTATATTCATGGAGCATATAGGCCTATGATTTTCCTTTCTTTTATGCTCCCTGGTTACATTAGCCTCATAAAATGAGCTGCGGCATCCTTTCCCATTCTCTGAAAGACTTAAAGACTCCCTAAGTGAGTTTAAATATTTTCTCCCCACCCAGGAATTTATCCATCTCATCTAAGATTTCAAATTTACTAAAGTACAATAATTTAATATATCTTTTTATTACATTGATCTCTGCAAAATATATGGTCTTGTACATTTTTCATTACCAATACTATTTATTTGTGCCTTTTCTCCTTTGTTCCCAAATGATTCTTGCTATAAATTGGTTATTTCATTAGACTTTCCAAATCAACAACTTGTGATTTTGTGATTCTTTCTAGTCAATGTTTTCTATTTCAGTAGTTTCTGCCATCTTTATCATTTCCTTCCTCCCACTTTCCTTGGGTATATTCTGTTCTAACTCCTGAATTTTGAGCAGTTCTTCTTTGCTGATATAAGCAGTTAAGGCTATACAGTCATGCATCCTTTAATGACAGGGATACGTTCTGAGAAATGCATCATTGTGTGAACATCAAAGAGTGTACTTTCACAACTCTAGGTGGTACAGCCTACTACACACCTAAGCTATGTGGTATAGCCTATTGCTCTGAAGCTACAAACCTGTACAGCATGTTACTGTACTGAATACTTTAGGCAATCCTAACACAATGGTAGGTTTTGTGCATCTAAACATACGTAAACTTGGAAAAGGTGCAGTAAAAATACAGGTGCACCATTTAAAAAACTTTTTAAATGGTATGTCTGTATAGGGCACTAACATGAATGGAGCTTGCAGACTGGAAGTTGCTCTGGTTAAGTCAGTGAGTGAGTGGTGAGTAAATGTGAAGGCCTAAGACATTACTGTACACTCACCACTCACTCACTGACTTAACCAGAGCAACTTCCAGCCTGCAAGCTCCACTCATGTTACTGCCCTATACAGGCATACCATTTAAAAAGTTTTTTTAATGGTACACCTGTATTTTTCACAAATGTTCCAGGGGTACTTAAAAAATATTTAACTGCTGTGTATATACTGCTGTCCACTTTTATGACAGGAGCATTTTTATGTAAAATCACTTGTATCACCGAATTATTATATTTTCTATGTGATAAGGAAAGTAGGAGTAGAAATTTTCAAATGTGAGATCATGGAATATTTTACTAAAGTGCACGAATCAAGGAACAAATAAGTGAAAGAGTTGAGGAGCTGCTCATAATCTGGGCAAAATTCCAAGTAACAAACCTTATAATAAACCTCTTTTTTCAATTTACCACCCCTCCCTCTGAACACGCACACACTCTCACACAATTCTGAGCACACTGTATATTTACTTGATACTGTATTTCCTTTCAACTGGATTAATACCCTTTAAACTAATCTTGCTGCTCCTGCCTTTGCCTTGCAATTATTCTGAACACAGAAACTATGATGATCCTGGTAAAGCCAGATGATCTCATTCCTCTACTCAAAAGCCTTCAATTGCCCCACAGCAAAAGCCAAAAAGCCCTTACTGGACCGACAGGCCCTATATCACCAGGCCTTCCTGACTTTGCTCTTTGATCTTATCTACTATGCTATTGTTCCATCTTTTTTTCTGCCCCAATATACTGGCCTCCTTACTTTCTCCAATGCACCAGGTATGCATCTCCCTTAGAGCCTCTGCATTTGCTATTTCCATTACTAGGAATGTTCTTCTCATAGATATTATATGGCTAGCTCGCCCACTTCCTTCAAGTCTTTTACTAAAACTCACTTTCCCAGAGAGGCCTTCTCTGCCCACCTTACCTAAAATTTCAACCACACTCCCAATACACATTTCATATTCCCCTTTACTTTTTCTCCTTAACTTACATGAGCAAATATGCAAATACTGTTTACTTGCTCACCACTGTATCCTAGCCCTAGAGCCATAGCATATAGCCACTACTCAATAAATACTTCTTAAGTGAATGAAGTGTAATTCTAGGACTTACAACACTTTGAAGTACCTTTACATCATTAGTTTCTTCTGTTCAAGATTTTTTGCACATTCCTTTATAATACCTCTCCTAAACACGAGAAAAAGATGTGAGGTAACAAGAACTGTACAGTCTGTTTCCATTTGCACAGCTGGGCAGAGGTTTCTCCAAGCCAGAACGGGGATAAACAGGTAGAAGGGACCCTGGGTGTGTGGAGAAATGGAGCAAAATAGGTATTCCTTCATTTGGTTTATGTGGGGGGAAAAGGGAATGAAGGCAGTGAGCCACTTCAGTAATACCTTGGAAAGCTATTCCAAAAGCACTGTGGGCAAATCAGATGCCAGAAACATTATAGAATTAGGAGAGTCAGGAGACAATAGAGCCACGTCTTAAACTAGCTAAATCCATGACAACTCCATACACAGATTATCCCCTAACTGAAGCCACAGTCTTCTTTACAGGCTCCTCTTCCTCTTTCTGACATTTAACCTCCTCTTATTTTAGAACTGTCTCTTGTAAACAGCATATATCCAAAAACAATTTTAATCCAGTCTGATAATCACTGGCTTTTCCTGGAGAGTTTAGACTAACAGTTCTCAAGGGTTTTTGTCTTAAGACCCTTTATACACTTTATTTGAGAACTCCAAAGAGCTTCTGTTTATGTGGGTTGTATCTATCAATATTTACTCTATTAAAAGCTAACAATCTAGAAAACATTTCATTCATTTAAAAATAACAAGTTCATATATTAACATGTTTTATGAAGAATAAATATACTTTCTATAGAAAATAATTTAATAAGAAGAGTGTCTCTATTTTACATTTTTGTAAATCTCTTCAATGTCTTTATCTCTCTCTAAAGTCTCTTTAAAGTCTGGTTTGACAGACAGCTCTAGTCCTATATTCAATCTGTGTAATACAGACTGTTTTGGTTGAAGTATATGAAGAAAAAAATCAAGTATCACACAGATATGTAGCTGGAAAAGTATGGGAGTATTTTAATTATTCTTTTCAGATAATTTCAAGTCTTCGTATTTGATTTTATACCGAAACTCAACAAGTAGTAGTTTCTTAAAGGCTAATGGTAATATAGAGGCTGAAACTTTATCAATGAACTTCTTAAACTGTTACATTAAAATCCATTGCTCTATCATGCATACTGAATGAATCTTTTATCCAGGCGTGACTTTGCAACATTATAGTCATTTGAAAAATATTGATTCTCTGAATTATGCAGATATTGACACACTGCAGTATATAATACCTCCAAAAAATCATATTTGTTTATATCTTCACCTATTCCATCAGAAAAATCTTCAAGCACTGGGAAACTATCAATTTCAAGGTCTCTAATTTTCAATTGAAAGCTCAAACTTTGTCATTGACATATAATTTCAATTGCCCACCTTTAAGTGGCAGGCTCACTTTGCTCAGTTTCAATAAAACATTTGCCAAATACCCAAGGGTGAATAACCACAGTTAGTTTTTTCAAGTAAAAAGTGGTGTTCCAGGAAAAAAGTGGCTACTTTAGTTTAAAGCTCAAGTAATCGGACAAGTGCTTTTTCTTGAAAAACTTTCTCCTTTGCAATGCAGCATAATTTCTTTATGCATACTTTTCATTTTGTCACACAGCATATTAAAAAGACTAATACTCTAGTGTTGACATGTAATGAAATTAATAATTTTACCACATCAAGAACAGTCTTAAATGAAACCCATGTGAGGGCTAGCTCCTGGTTATAAATTTTCAAGGGTGATACTGCCTTGACCAACTAATGCTAAGAATAGAAGTGGCAGATTTCCTCATTCGTTTCTATGCAGTGAGTTTATTTCTTCTTCATCCTTACAGTGATAGTACAAATCTGGGGTCTTAGCTTTATGCAACAAGGGGGTCTTATTAGACCTTCCACCTTGGAGAAATGGGAGATGCTAGACTTTTTCTACATCTCCATGGAGAGGTAAAAGCAGTAAATCATAGGTTCAGTAGAAACCTTCAGTGGGAAAGCTATGATGAACCCTTATCTTCTGGACTTCCCCTTCCAGTTATTACTATTATTGTTTTATGTCTTTGGATTGCTTCTATAAGTGCCATTTCAGGGATGCATTTTAAAAGATTTTTTTCATATTGTACCTATTTTTAGCTATTTTCCAATATGGATTATTCATGCTATCTAGCCCATCACATTTCCAAAAGCAGAATTCTTCATTTAAATTTGATAAGAACAGAACTGAGCATTTTTATAAACATCACAACAAAGTTCACCTGTCTCACTTTGACCTGAAGTCTTCAATGTAGTATTGTTTCAAATTTATTTTATTGGAATTCTCTAGATGTGGACCTGTGATTACCAATGCAACACGTCATGCCTTTGTTGTTTTGTCTGTTTAGAAGCTATGCCTTAACATCACCATAGGCCAATAGTAAGTACCTGATAATAAATCACTGCTTGCAGCACCATACCCTTCTAGAGTCTCAGTCTAGTGCCTGATTCTGTTCATGCCCTTATCCATCAGAACTCTTAAGTTCTGTTCTGAGTACTACTGAATCAGGGTACCACAAAATAAAGTGATGGGCAACCATAATTCTGATTGGCATTCTAAGAATATGTGAGTAGATTAATGCTGGCTGTGTTAATCTATTTTGTGCTACTATAACAGAATACCAGAGACTGAGTAATTTACAAAGAAAAGAAATTTATTTCTCACAGCTCTGGAGGGCAGGAAGTTCAATGTCAAGGGGCCAGCATCTTGTGAGAATCTTCTTGCTGTGTCATCCCATGGCAGAATGCCAAAGGACAAGAGAGCAGGCAATAAGGGACCAAACTTGCTTTTATAACAAACCCACTCTCCCAATAAAGAACATGCTCTCAAGATGATGAAATTAATGCATTCATAAAGGCAGAGGACTCAAGATCTATTCACCTCATACAGTTCCCACCTCTCAACACTGTTGCACTGGGGATTACTTTTCCAACACAGGAACTTTGGGGGACACATTCAAACTACAGCATTCCACCACAGCCCCCAAAATTCATGTCTTTCTCACATGCAAAATACATTCATTCCATCCCAATAACCCCAAAGTCTTAACCGGTTCCAGCACTAATTCAAAAGTCCAAAGTCTAGAGTCTCATCTAAAGCAGATATTGGTGAGACTCAAGGCATGATTCACTATAAGGCAAATTCCTCTCCAGATGTGAACCTGTGAAATTAAACCAGTCATCTACTTCCAAAATACAATGGTGGGACAGATGCAGTATAGACATTCCCATTTCAAAAGAGAGAAATAGGCAACAAGAAAGGAGTAACTAGTTCCCAGAGAGTCTAAAACCCAACAAGGAAAACAACATTAAGTCCTAAAGCTAAAGAATGATCGCTTTTGGCTCCACATTCCACATCCTAGGCACACTGGGGCACATGAGCAAAGCCACAGGGATAGGCCTCAGGCAACCCTGCCCCTATGGCTTTGCTGGACTCAGTCCACCCAGCAGCTCTCATGTGTTGGAGTTTCACGCCTGCAGCTTTCCCAGGCTGGAGTTGCACAGTGGTAGCTCACAGTTTCGGCGTATCTCAGGTGGCCTCACCCCCACAGTCCAGTAAGTATCACCTTGGTGAGGACTCTCTGCTGTAACCTTGCTCCCATGGCTCCACCAGACACTGCCCTAGTGGGGACTCTCTGTGGTGGCTTCACCTCTGGAACAAGTTTCTTCCTGGGCCCCCAGGCTATCCATGACATCCCTTGAAATCTAGGTAGAGGTATCCATGCCCCCAAAGTTCTTGCATTCTTACAGGCCTGCAGACTTAACATCACATGGATGCCACTAAGGCCTACCGGTTGAGCCTGCAGAGATGCAGCACAAGCAGTACCTTGGCCTGCTTGAACCACAGCCATGGCTGGGGTGGCTAAAAATCACTGAGCTGGAATTCAGGGAACAGAATACTGAGGTGGCCCTGGGCAGTAAGCCTGTTAAGGCCACCCCACGCCCATCCCCTGAAGTCATTCTGCCCTCCTAGAGCTCTGAGCCTGTGATGGGACAGGCAGCCTGGAATATCAAACTGCTTGTGGGGTTATTCTCTCATTATCTTGATGAATAGCACCTGGCTCCCTTCTAGTTGTACTCTCTTTAGCAAATGTACTAATCTCCTTAGTAAGTGGTTGCTTAGCTAAACTCTTAGTTTGCTCTCCTAAAGATGCCTTTTCACTCTTCAAATGGCCAGGCTATGAATCTTCCAACTTTTTGTATTCTGCTTTCCTTTTAATTATAAATTCTGTCTTTAAATAATTTCTCTCCACTCACATCTCACTACACGCAGTGAAAAGTCCCGATGCATCTCCTCGAATATTTTGCTTAGTTACTTCTTCCGCCAGATATCCTAGTTCATTACTCTTAAATTTTACCTTCCATAAAGCCCTTGGACATAGACATAATTTAGCCAAATTCTTTGCAACTTCATAATAAGGATGGTCTTTATTCCAGTACCCAATACCTTCTTCCTCATTTCCCTCTGAGACCTCCTCAGAATAGCCTTTACTGTCCACATTTCTACTGGCATCCTAATCACAGCTGAAATAACCTCTAAAAAGAGCTAGGCTCTCCCTACAGCTCTTGTATTCTCCCGAGCCCTCACCAAAACTACTCTCAATGCTCTATTCATAGGAATCTAGGCATTTTTTAGCCTGCTTCACCAAATTCTTCCAGCCTCTACCTTTCACCAAGCTCCAAAACCACTTTCACATTTTCAAGTATTTTTGTTATAGCCACAATCTCACTTCTCAGTACCAATTTTCTGTCTTAGTCCATTTTTTTTTGCTGCTGTAACAAGAGTATCAGAGAGTGGGTAATTTATTAAGAAAAGAAACTTATTTGGCTCACAGTTCTAGAGCCTAAAAACACCAACTCAAGGAGCCAGCATCTGGTGAGGGGTTTCTTGTTGCATTATCGCAAAGTGAAAGGTGGAAGGGCAAGAGAGCTTGTGAAAAGCGAAAGTGAGCATGAGAGCAAGAGAAAGAGGGGGCTAAACTCATTTTTATAACAAACTCACTCTCACCATACAGAACCCACTCCCATAATAATATTAATCCATTTGTGAGGGTAGAGCCCTCATGATCTAATCACCTCTTAAAGGTCCCACCTCTCAACACTGTTGCATTGGGGATTACATTTCCAACACAAGAACTTTGGGGGATACATTCAAACCACAGCACTGGACTTAAAAGTCTCAGTGGATCAGATCTTGTCCTCTGTCTCATGATTATGTGAATTATTTCAAAATGTAAAGAATTCACACACCCAATTATTTTTGTAAATATCCACTTTCTCTACTGACTCAAGAATCAAAATCATTAGAAGAGACCTTAGAAGTTTTTTAATCCAACTTGTCACCCCAATGCAAGAACACCTTATGCTGTACCTAACAGTTATAAAATTTGTTTGTGGGTACTTTTCACTCAACTTCAACCTAAAAACTCTCAAGACTTCACTCTTTCTGAAACAAAATAATTTGACATGCTATACTATCAAGACTAATGATTTCTGCATTATTCTATAAATCATTAATAAGAGCCTATTATGGGCCTGGCATTCTCTCATTTAACTCTGTGATAACACTTTAAATTCTACTGTCAAATGATAAAAAGACAATCTATAAGTTAAACAGTTCTTACTTTTCAAAACTGTGATGCTGGTCCTCCAAGCTGTCACAAGTACCACATTTCTCAGGCCACGCTGAAAACATCTCTGCTTCATCAGCAGACCAAAATGGAATACTATAAAATTTAATTTGGAGTCCATGGAGCAATTAAATGCTGAAGCAGACATGCCACAGGAAGCTCTCTCAACCAAAAAGACTTAATTAGAAACCATATCAGCTAAAATAACCAACTTAGATGGTCGGATGGAAGAGAGTTTGGTAGCACAAATGTAAAAGAGAAAGAATCAACATTAAAAATTGGTTCAGATACATACTCATAAACATTATAAAAATTATATTGATTTTAGAATAAAATCTAGCTTTTGTCTTAAAAAATCCAAATAAAAATCCTCAACCTTCTTAGAAGGAAACTACAGATATACATTAAAATACAACTTAAAGTGTTTAGGTGAAAGGTCTAAATGGGTTGTAGAATGTCCAAATTGAAAACAAAAAAAATTATTAAAGCAACCCTAACCTCCAGTTGACTACAAAGTTGCTAAGGGAAGTTTATATGAATCCCTTCCCCTGTTCCCAAAAGAAAGCAACAAAAAGTTTAGTCATACTATTTTATGCAGTTGTTTATTTAACCTTAAACAAGAAACAAAACTAGCAGATCTTAAACTTAGCTTCCATTAGATGTTCTGAGAGAAATATAATAATCTGTTAGTTTAAATAAGACCTGGTACCCAAGTATTACATCTTCCACGGCCTGGACTTGAATGCATGTGCTGATAATGACTCCTAAATCTTCAGGACTAGACAGACCTATCCCTGAGCTCCCGATCTAAGCACCCAAGTGCCCATTGCTCATTTTACCCACATTACAAACTCAACATAGCCAAACTGAACTCATCTCCACTCCTTAAGCTGTTTCTCCTCTTAGTTTCTCATCTTAGTGAATTATACCACCATCAAGCCTCTCAATCTCAAGACTCATCAAAACAAGTTGGCTCTAACTGCTAAATCTCTCCAGAATCTGGACTCTTCTTCCCATCTCTACTGTCACTTCTCCCTAAATTCAAGCAAGCCTCATCATCCGTGAGCACACTAGGCTAAAGCCTCTGGACATGTCTCCCTTTCTCTAGTCTCACACACACCTCGGTTTCATCTTCCGTGATTCTGTAAGGGAGATCATCTTTTCTTTTAATGCTATACTTTTTTTCTGATTACATAAGAAAATTCACCACAGAAAATTATAAATATACGGAGAGGTACAAAAAAGAATCCCTTAAAACTTTACCAACTTGTTGATACCACTGTACATATTTTGAGATATTTTCTCTAGTCTTTTAAAAATAGTTCACACGATACCACTTATAAAAATCTAATTTTTTAAACTTAACATTAGAACTTTGTAAACCTAAATTTTAGAAGTTGTGTATCATTCTGTAATATGGTTCTACCACAAATTTACATAACCATTCCCTATTATTAAACATGTATGTCCCTTTGAGTTTGTCACTCTTAGAAAGGGTGGTACAGTGAATATCTTTATGTTGAACGTATTTTTGGTATTTCTGAGTTTTGTACAGGACAGCAAAAAAAAATTTTTTTTGGAGGTATTTTGTAGAGGCTAGGTGTAGACAAATCATGGATATAGCTGAAGGCCAAAATCCTAAGCAAATTAACACAGGAACAAAAACCAAATACTGCATGTACTCACTTATCAGTGGGAACTAAACATTGAGTACACATGGACATAAAGATGGGAACAACGGACACTGCAGACTACTAGTTGGGGGAGTGACAGGGTGGTAGGTGAAAAACTACCTATTGGGTACTATCCTCACTATCTGGGTGACAGGATCCATACCCCAAACCTTAGCATCACACAATCTACCCATGCAACAAACCTGCACATGTACCCCTTGAATCTAAAATAAAAATTGAAATTATAAAAACAAAAAACAAAAAAACTCCAGGGGGATAAGGTCACACGGCAACCCCATGCTTTTGTGAGTTTTACTTCCAAGAGCTTGATCAGGTTCTCACAGTAACCACAGTAGAAAATTCCCTTGGGCTTCCAGTTGGGGGAGAGGGGAGGAGGAACCATTTTAAAACACAAGGGTACTGTGCTCTTCTTGTTTTTTTTTTTTTTTTTTTTTTTCTGAGACATAGTCTCACTCTGTTGCCCAGGCTGGAGTGCAATGGCGCGATCTTGGCTCACTGCAACCTCTGCCTCCCAGGTTCAAGTGATTCTCCTGCCTCAGCCTCCCAAGTAGCTGGGATTACAGGCACATGCCATCATGCCTGGTTAATTTTTGTATTTTTAATAGAGACAGGGTTTCACCATGCTGGTCAGGCTGCTCTCGAACTCCTGACCTCGTGATCTGTCCGCCTCGGCCTCCCAAAGTGCTGGGATTACAGGCCTGAGCCACTGCGCCTGGCCTACTCTGCTCTTACCAAGGTCTGCCCTCAAGAGAAACTGTTTAACCAGAGCCTAACCTGCTGGGGTTTTATCAGAGTCTAACCTGGGAGAAGAGAAATACTCAACTGCAGCCCACTGTAGCCATCCTGCCCCACGTAAGAAGGGAGAAGAAAATATTGAGAAACACTTACGAAGTTCATAACACAGAGGCAAAGGCTCACTCTAAGACTGAAACCTAATCATAGGAATACAGAATGCTTCCCTCCTCCACACCTTACCATCACATTACTCAAGGCCTATTTACAGCACTTCCTTTTACCCAGGAAATCACATCTGGCTATCAAGAAAAAATCACCAGGCATACTAAAAGAAAAAAAAATCCCACAGTTTGAAGAGACAGAGCAAGCATCAGAACCAGACTCAGATATAGAAGAGATGGTGGAATAATCAGACCAATAATTTAAAATGATAATTAATATGCTAAGGGCTCTAATAGATAAAGCAGACAGCCTGTAAGACCAGAGTGATGGAAATCTAAGAAAGAACCAATAAGAAAAGCTAGAGATCAAAAACACCATAAAAACACTATAACAGAAATTAAGAATGCCTTTGATGGGCTTATTAGTAGTCTAGACACTGCTTGGCAAAGAGTCTCTGATCTCAAGAACAGCACAATAGAAACCTTCAAAGATGAAAAGCAAAGAGAAAAAAGACTGGAAAAAAAAATAGAGTAGCCAAGGACTGTGGGACAACTACAGAAGAAGTCAATATGCATAATGGAAATACCAGAAGCAGAGGAAAAAAAAAAAAAAAGGAACAGAAGAAATAATTGAAATAATAATGACTTGGAATTTCCCCCAAATTAATGTCAGACATTAAACCACAGATCTAGAGAGCTCAGAGAACACCAAGCAGGATAAAGGCCAAAAAACCTACACCTAGGCATATAATGTACTTTTCTTTCTTTTTTTTTTTTTTAGAGATAGGGTCTCACTTTGTCGGCCAGGTTGGAATAAACGCCTGGCCCCAAGTGATCTCCCACTTCAGCCTCCCAAAGTGCTGGGATTACAGGGTTGAGCTTCATTGTCCAGTTCGGCATATCTAGAAAGAAGCCAGAGGAAATAAACACCTTATCTATAGAGAAACAAATATAGTAATTACTTCCCACTTCTCAAAAACCATACAAACAAGTGTGGAGTGAAATATTTTAAAGTTTTGAGAGAAAAAGCCTACCAACCTAGAATTCTGTACCCTGTGAACTTATTCTTCAAAAGTCAAGGAGAAATAAAGACTTTCTCAGACAAACAAAAATTGAGATATTTTGTTGCCAGTAGATCTGCTTTGCAAGAAATGTTAAAAGAAGTTCTCTAGAGAGAAGAAAAAAATAACAGGTTAGAAAGTAAAATCTATGTAAAGAAAGGAAGAGCACCAAAGGAGAAATAAATGAAGGTAAAATTAACATTTTTCTTTTTTTGTTTTTTTTGAGGCGGAGTTTCGCTCTTATTGCCCAGGCTGGAGTGCAATGGTGCCAGTTCAGCTCACTGCAACCTCCGCCTCCTGGGTTCAAGTGATTCTCCTGCCTCAACCTCCCAAGTAGCTGGGATTACAGGCATGTGCCACCGCACCCAGCTAATTTTGTATTTTTAGTAGAGATGGGGGTTTCTCCGTGTTGGTCAGGCTGGTCTTGAACTCCCGACCTCAGGTGATCCGCCTGCCTCAGTCTCCCAGAATGCTGGGATTACAGGCATAAGCCACCACGCCCAGCCATTTTTTCTTATTCTTAACTGATCCAATAGATATCAGTTTGTGTAAAGTAGTAATTGCAACACTGTATAGATCACGTATTGTTATGCGTATGTTGTCCCGTGAATAACACAGATTTGAACTGTGTGGATCCACTTATACACAAATTTTTTCAGTAAATATAGTCAGCCCTCAGTGTCAGTGGGTTTCATATCTGCAACAAAATGCAAATTGAAAACACAGTATTTGCAGGATAGAAAACTCACAAATAAGGACTGCCAACTTTTCCTATCTGTGGGTTCTGCAGGGGGTCCTGGAACCAATCCCTGCAGATACTGAGGGGTGACTATAAATGTTTTTGTATGCTTATATATAAGTAAAAAGAATAGCAGCAATGATGTAAGAGACTAGAGAGAGAAAATAGGATTACTGCGTTATTATAAGGTACTTCCACTACCTGTAAAGTGGCATGGTGTTATTTGAAAGTGGGCTTGGATTAGCTGTAGACTGCAAACTCTGGGGGAACTAAAAGCCAAACTAAAAAAACTAAAATTAAAAAAAAAAATTAACAATTAACTGAGAAGCTAAGAAAAGAAAGAAAGTGGAATCATAGAAAATGCTCAATTAAGCCAAGTGTGGTGGCTCACACCTGTAATCCCACACTTTGGGAAGCCGAGGCAAGAGGATTGCTTGAACCCAGGAGTTCAAGATCAGCTAGGCAATATACAGAGATACCCTCTCTATGAAAAAATTAGTGGGGTGTGGTCGTGCATGCCTATGGTCCCAGCTACGAAGGAGGCTGAGGTGGGAGGATTTCTTGAGCCCACGAGGTTGAGGCTGTAGTGAACTGTGATTGCGCCACTGCATTCCAACCTGGGTGACACAGCAAGACTCCGCCTCAAAAAAACAAAAAAAAACAAACCAAACGAAAAACCACAAAAAGTAGAAGAGTGGAAGACAAAAACAGATATAAAGAACAAGGACAACAATTAGAAAATAGTAACTGGCTGGGCACAGTGGCTCATGCCTGCAATCCCAGCACTTTGGGAGGTCAAGACAAGAGGATCACTTGAGTCTAGGAGTTCAAGATCAGCTTGGGCAACATAGTGAGACCCTGTCTCTACAAAAAAAATATTAAAAAATTAGCCAAGCATGGTGGTACATGCCTGTACTCCCAGCTCCTGGGGAGGCTGAGGCAGGATGATCACTTGAGCCCAGGAGGTCGAGGCTGCAGTGAGCCACAGTTGCACCACTGCACTCCAGCCTAAATGACAGAGTGAGACCCTGACTCAGGAAAAAAAAAAATCCAGAAAATAGTAGCAAATGAAGTAGACATTAATTCGATGATATCAATGATCACTTTGAACATAAAGGTTCTAAATGCAGCAACTGAAAGACAGCAATTGTCAGAGTGATTCAAAAAACAAGACCCAACTTTATATTGTCTACAAGAAACTCACTTTAAATATACAGTCTGGGTGCAGTGGTTCACACCTGTAATCCCAGCATTTTGGGAGGCTGAGGCAGGCAGACTGTTTGAGGTCAGGAGCTTGAGACCAGCCTGGCCAACACGGTGAAATCCTGTCTCCAACAAAAATACAAAACAATTAGTCAGGTGTGGTGGTGTGGACCTGTAGTCCCAGCTACTCAGGAGGCTGAGATGGGAGAATTGCCTGAACCTTGGAGGAGGAGGTTGCAGTGAGCCAAGACTGCGCCACTATACTCCATCCTAGGTGACAGAGTAAGACTGTTTCAAAAAATAAATGAATAAATATACAGACACAAGTAATGCAGGTTCACTGTAAAAAAAAAAAAAAAAAGAAAATACAAAGACATAAAGAACAAGACTATACATAAGTCCACCAAAGATATGTATTTTTACATTTTGTTGTTTTTCTACTTTATTTGTATTTATTTTTAAGAAACTGGATCATATATTGGATACATTCTTTTGCAAACTGCTTTTTAAATTAAATATAATAAATATAGTTCTGTATCAATAAATACCATACCATAATATAATTTAGAATGGCAATATTCCATTTTATGGACATAATTTAACTAATCCCATATTTTTGGACATTTGGGTTGTTTTCAATTTTTCATAAGTGATAACTAGATGAAAAATTCTTAGTCAATTCTTCACATTGATCCTAAATTACTTTCTTAACATAAATTTCTGTTGGTCAAATAAATGGATCCAAAACATGTATACTTTAAAAACTTTTTTATATGACTACCATTTGTCCTCTAGAACAGCTGTCCCCAATCTTTCTGGCACCAGAGACCAGTTTCATGGAAGACAGTTTTCCAGGACCAGGGCTGGGGTGAAGGGCAGGGGATGGTTTCAGGATGAAACTGTTCCACCTCAGGTCATCAGGCATTAGATTCTCATAAGGAGCGTGCAACCTAGATCCCTTGCATGCACAGCTCACAATAGGGTTCACACTCCTATGAGAATCTAATGCCACCACTGATTTGACAGGAGGCAAAGCTCGGGAGTTAAAGCTTGCTTGCCCACCACTCACCTCCTGCTGTGCAGCCTGGTTCCTAACAGGCCACGGACCAGTACCAATCCATGGCCTGAGGGCTGGGGATTGGTACTCCCAATCCCCAATTTATACAATACCAATTTATACTCCCATCAATAAGTGGGTCTTGGCCAAAAATGAGTCTTAATATGATTTTAAATATACGTTAGTTTTTATTTTTATGTAAACAAATCTATCTATATTTTCCTTTGTGATTTCTTCTCCACTGTTTTTTCTTTACCCACCGATTTAATAAATATTCACTTCTATTCTCTTTTAGTTTTGATTGATTTTCTTCAACAAACTTTCTCATCCACTTATAATTCCTTTTGTAGTGAGGTGAGGAGGTAATTTTTTCCCAAATAGTCCCAGTACCATTTACTGAACAATCTTCTCCTTCCATCATGAATTGAGAAGTGCAGGAATCTTTTATACAACTCTTTCTTGCTTGTAATTTGTCAAGGTTTTTTTTCTCTGCTTCCACAATCAAGTTCAAACTCTTTAACATAGCAAAGCTCTTTGCAGCACTGTCTCTGATTCCACATGAGGAAAATCAACTGTCTCTCCCCCAAAGGCATCCCATACTCTGATAAAATTGTGCCAAACTATTTTTTCTGTGGTGACACATCTTTACATTTTTGAGGCACAGAAGACCTTCCTAAATAAGGCATAAAACCAGAAGAAATAACAATAGAAGCTACTTTTTATAGAGTACTTACTAGTTGTCAGGCAGTAGTCTAAGTCTTTTACTGTAATATCTCATTTGTTCCTTAAAACAATCCTAGGAAGTAGATAGTATTACTACTCCCATTTTAAAGATAGAAAACTGGGCACAAAACGATTACAAAACTTGCCTAAGGTTACATTGCTAGTGAGTGGAGGAACTGAAATCTTAACACAGGCAATCTGGCTCTACAACTTGTACATTTATCCACTACACTGTACCGCATAAAAGACACAAATTTGAACGTATAAATACTGAAAGCTTGCTGTGTGATGAAAGGCACTATTTGCAATGCTGAAAAAATGACAGGGTGAAAATATCTGCAAGATATATAACAAGCAATGTATAGAACACATAAGGATCTATAAATAAGTACGAAAAATGCAGTTATTTCAATTGAAAGTTGGCAATGGGTGGGCATGAACAATTCACAGAAAAACATGCATGGCTAATAAACATATAACAAGATGCTCAACATCACTAATTATCAGGGAAATAAAATTATAATGGTGAGATATAATGATGATATAATGATTAGATAGCATTTTCACCCATCGAAGTGACAAAAATTAAGAAATGTGGTAATAGCTAGCATCGCTGAGGGTGTGAAAAACAGGCATTTCAATCACTGTTGGTGGGAATATAAACAGTTATAGCCTGTTATGGGGATATTCTTTCAGCAATAAAACTATCAAAATAAAATAACTGTCCCTTTTGACTGAACAGTTCCATTCTGGGAATCTATTCCAGTATCTGGGAATCTATCATGCACGTGTGCATAAATTTTTTTTTTTTTTTTGAGACAGGGTCTCACTCTGTGCCCAATGCAGTGCTATTCATAACACTATCAAGTAAACTGGAAACAATCTTAACATCCACCTGCAGAAGAACAGTTAAATCATTACAGTACATCCATCTGTACTCTAACGTGGCACTCACTGTACAGCAATTGTACACTGTGAAGGAAGAAAAGCAAGTCACAAAACAACATGTTAAGTATGATCTCTATAGCTGGGCACTTTGGCTTATGCCTGTAATCCCAGCACTTTGGGAGGCCAACGTGGGCGGATCACCTGAGGTCAGGAGTTCGAGACCAGCCTGGCCAACATGGCGAAACCCCGTCTCTACTAAAAATACAAAAATTAGTTGGGCGTGGTGGTGCACACCTCTAATCCCAGCTATTGGGGAGGTTGAGGCAGGAGAATTTCTTGAACCTTGGAGGCGGAGGTTGCAGTGAGCCGAGATTGCACCACTGCACTCCAGCCTGGGCAACAGAGGAAGACTCTGTCTCAAAAAAAAAAAAAAAAAAAAAAAGTATGATCCCATTTAAGAACAAAACAGAAACCTAACAACCTTTAAATACACATATGTGTGTGTAATATCATTTTAAATGTCTAGGACTGTGTGGGTGAGGGAGAACTTTCATTTTGTTACTTTATACGTTTCTTTATTGTTTATATCTTTTATAATAATCATCTATTCATATTTAACATCATTTATTCTTATTTAAAACTGTGTAACTTTCTCAAAAGTATGTGTGTATGGGGAAGGGGAACAACAGACATTAAGGTGAGAGGCAGAAAAATAAGCTAAGACAACATTTCTGAGCAATAGCTCTACTGGCATTTTGGACTAAATTCTTCTTTGTTGTGAGAGGCTTTCCTATGCATCATAGAGTGTTTAGCTGCATCCCTGGCTTCTACCCACTAGATGGCCAGTGGCATACCCTGCCCCTCCTCCAGCAAGACATGACTCTCAAAAACTTCTCCAGACATTGCCAAATATTCCCCCGGGGAAAAAAATGTTCCACACTCTACCCACCACTACATTCATTGAGAACCATGGGTTAAGGTATCAAATATTCTAAAAAGTTCCTCAGCCAGAGTTAGAATTCGTTGCACCTGATCCTATATGATATCAGTTATTAGTTCTGTTTTCTTGTTTGCCTCCACAGGCTGTGAGCCTTTTCTAGGAAGGTGTTCAGAGTGGTTAAACAGTTATCTCTTGGGCTGCGTTCCTCAGAGTATATCCTGTGACCAACTGCATCAGCAGCACCTGGGATATTTGTTAAAAGGCAGAGTCCTAGATTTCACTTTCGATTTAACATTCTCAAGATGAGTCCAATGCACACTAAAGTTTGGGAATTATATTTTTTAGTACAAATCTCAGCACATAGGAGATGCTTAATAAATTGGTGAATGAATGTACAAATTTTATTCTATAAAGATAATGAGTGAAATTGGTCTCTAGTTAAGAAATATACAACAAACCAACTTGCTTGTGAAATTTAAATATACAAACTCTATGAAACAGAAATGGCTACAAATAACAAAATTTAGTTTAATTATGCTACTTAATTACAGACATGTAAGCATGATTTTAAGTATTTGTAATAAATTTACTAAGAGTTGTATAAAAAAATTAAAAGCCAGATCTAGCTCTTGAATTCTCTCATGAAGAGTATCAATAAATAAGTGAACTGAAAGCACGTATTTTTAAATGTTGATCAAATGCATTTTGAAAAAAATTTAAACACATAACCACCTGAAAGAAGGGATGTATTACATTATTTCCACCATTTCAAGTGTTTAGCAACAGTCCTGTCATGATGTCTGTAATATACTCACAACACTTCAGTATAGATGGTGTGATTGATATAAATGTATCAGTTAGTTAAACTTCAAACTCCAGAGGCAGTCAGCAGTCCTAACTGAGGAGCCATGTCAAGGGAGCACTGTATCAGACGGCTATACTCCAGAAGCAGCGACCACAAGTACTTCTTTTATCCCTATCGTGATCAACACTTGAGACATCGGTAATTTGCATAGTGAATATCAGAAGTGAGGTTTATTGGTAAAATGAATAGCTTAGTGGTTAACAAGATGAATGTTAGAAATGGGCTTTCACTGGTGAAATTAAAATACATCATCAAAAAATTGTGAATTAGATAAAATATTGTATAGTTATAAACCTTTGAATAAACAGGATATAAAAATCCAGCAAGGTCTGTAACTTTTCTCTTAGAGGTGGTGCCCAGGGTTGATTCCTTAATAGTCCTGTAACTAACTAGTCATTGGTTTGGAAGCATTTCTTCTTGTCCAATGTTGACTAAAAGGATAACTGAAAGTGACCCTGTGAATGCTGTGGATCTCATCTAGTTCTACTAAGCCTTTCATGAAGGGTGATGGTTGGTATGCCCAAAATGAAAGTGAACTCAAAGCTTCTTTCATAGACATTAAAGAACAGGTTGTAATACATTGTTTTGTGTCTTCATACTAACATCTGTTTGAAAAACACCTATATGTGGCAGGATATGGTCATTTCTTTACAATCTGTTAGTAAGGTTGCAGAGAAACACCTTCAAATGCTTCATTGACCACCACTCTTGCCAAAAACAAAATAGAACAAAAACCCTAAGATTTATAAATCACTAGCTTGTTTTAGGCTGTTTCACAACAACTACATCCACATTTCTTCCCAGCGATACAGTTTATATAGTCTCCAGACAACTGCCAGTATAAAACACAATCCAATGGTCTTTATAATTATTTAACCAGCAAATCTTAGGATACAGTCCTGGAATTTTTATCCTATGCAACTAAAAACCACTGCCCTCTCACCATTAAAAAAAGGAAACAAAAAACCTTTCTGATATTAACATTCTTTAAAGAGTCACTAGATTTGGTGACTAAAGATTTTGTTACAAGTAACATTAAAGAAAGAAAGAAAAGCTGGGTTATCTACTGCCAGAGACACTATATCATATTAAATCATGAGGTAGATGAGATTTTTTTCAAGGACACTCCTATACATGAGGACCATTTAGGGTTAACACATCACATTTATGGCTTCAAAATTCAAGCATCATCACTGCCATCACTACAAAAAAGGACAAGGGACATTCAGTTTATGCAGAGAGGTGGAGACGAAAGACCCAATTATGGGCTGGACATGACTGGCATAAAAATTATTGAATACTTGAGTTTTTCGAAGTTCCAGACAGCACGTTTTCACCTTTAGGTGACGAAACAGCACCTTTGCTTTCTACCACGAGTACTTTTAATGTGGTCAATATACTTTGAATGTGACAGTCTCTAAAGGAGACAAGGTGGCCACATGGAACATTTCATCTCCTCCTCCAGGTAGGTATTCTAGCAGCTTATATGCCCAACTCCAAAATTACCTGAAGGATATAGATAAAACACCACTGTTAGAGTACACGCTTTTTTTCCTTGAACTTTCATATTCTGGTGCCATACTTGCTTTTGTACTGAGTAGATTAGGTTGTTTTTTAAAGAGTTGTTTTCCCCCTATAGGTAATTCAAAGGCGAGGGTAAGAAGGTATTCAGGTCCTCATACTGATGCCCCAACTTCATAGTTTCCAGTATAATCAAATACTTAAATATTTGTGTAGTGTTGAGCTTGCCTCAGGGCAATTTGTAGGATCTTCTTTCTTTAGATTAAAAAAATCATATAGGTAATTACCATAGCTTTCTGTGATGTCTTAGGCACAGCATTGTCTAAGAGCAGGAAGGTAGGCAGGTGATTTTTAAAGTACTTTTCAGCTCCAGGGTGATAAAAATATTTTAAACTTTCCGAAGTTTAAAAGTCATAATTAACTATTACAATTTAAAACTGAACAGTCATATATAGTTACAGTATAATTCTCTAAAATACAGTGTGCAAAAAAGAGGTAACATAAAGACCAATTAATATTTTCAGATAAAAATCAGCAAATACTGTTAAAATGCAAGATTCAACATTTCAAATTACTAACATTTCATATAGATAATGTACCTGGTTACAGGGAACCTTTTCAATATGTAATTATGAATAACATGGTTTGTATGGAACATCTACTACACAGCTCCCTATAAAAGTTGTATAAACTACCAACTCTAACCATACATCTTTCCTTTAGAGTATCTAATATGAAAGCTTAAAAACTATGTCTCACATATAGAAAAGACTAGAGACACCATGTGACATTTCCTATAGCATGAATTTCTTTTTTTTTTTTTTTTTTTTTTGAGACGGAGTCTTGCTTTGTCACCCAGGCTGGCGTGCAGTGGCACGATCTCGGCTCACTGCAAGCTCCGCCTCCCAGGTTCACGCCATTCTCCTGCCTCAGCCTCTCGAGTAGCTGGGACTACAGGCGCCCGCCACCATGCCCAGCTAATTTTTTGTATTTTTAGTAGAGACAGGGTTTCACCATGTTGGCCAGGCTGGTCTTGAACTCCTGACCTCGCGATCCGCCCACCTCGGCCTCCCAAAGTGCTGGGATTACAGGCTTGAGCCACCGCTCCCGGCCTTCCTATAGCATGAATTTCTATAACTCTAGCTACTGCTTAAGTCAGATAAAAAAAACACAAATTACAATGACAATTTACCATGTGTCTGGCGCTGTTCTAAGCACATGTTAATGCACAAAAATTCTATGAAATAGGTGTATTATTATCTTCATTTTATAGATACGTAAATTGAGGTAAAAGCCAAGTTCATCGACTTTCTCAGAATCACACAGGTAGGAAATGTCCAGAGCCTACACTCTTAAACCACCACAACTAGTATACTAGTCTCTAAAGAGGCAGACAACTGACTGTATCTAACAGTCTACAGGAAAAGAGAATTGAGATTTCTACAGATATTTCTTTCTTTTTTTTTTTTTGACGGAGTCTCACTCTGTCACCCAGGCTGGAGTGCTGTGGCGTAACCCCAGCTCACTGCAACCTCTGCCCCTTGGGTTCAAGCGATTCTCGTGCTTCAGCCTCCCGAGCAGTTGGGATTAAAGGCATGCGCCACCACTCTCAGCTAATTTTTGTATTTTTAGTAGAGACGGGGGTTTCACCACAATTGCCAGGTTAGTCTCAAACTCCTGACGTTAAGTGATCCGCCTCCCTCGGCCTCCCAACGTGCTAGGATTACAGGCGTGAGCCACCACACCCGGCCTTTATTTTTCTGTGAAACAAAAATTATCTTTCAATTCTACTTATATTTCCTTCCCTATTTCCATATATTCCAGATATGCCTTATTTTAAAAAATGATCTATTTTCACTCCATTTGATCTTACAGCACTTAGAAAGTTAATGGCCATTTTTATCATTTGTTTAGTTACCTAGTTTGATACTCTTGTTTATTTGATCTGCATTGACACCTTGTTAAATAGTTAAGGCTGGTACTATTACCCCTGTTTACAGATGAAGAAGGAAACTTAGACCCAGAAAGTTTAAACATGCTGTAAGTTTATCAAGGCATAGATAGCTATAGGAATTCAAATCCTATCAACAGTTCTACTACTGTTTTCATTTACAGTTTTGTATTTTTGTTTTTTGTTTTTTAAAAAAGATAGATGCAGGCCCAAAAGAGCTCATGCCTGGGTATCCTCCATCCACAATTAACAGGCAAAAGTTTGCCTATTAAGTAAAAAAGGTTGTGTTGAAGTGTACAATGAACTTGGCTCTTCACATACTATAGCAGTACACTTGATTGGCGTATTTTTATTTATTCATTAACACAGTAGCAAAGATAAGTACACTAACAGGTAGTATCTTTGAGAACTAAAGCCTTAAATAGACTTTTACTTGGAGAACATTATCTAGCAAGGGTTATTTCAGGTTAACTATTGATAAAAATTTCATTTCAGTTCCTTTTGCTTTTCTGCAATTATTACCACTCTATGGGAGTAGCTTTCTGCCAATCAACTGGTGCCCGTGGGGCTGGGATGTGTCTAGTGTGGCATCCAGTATGCTGTTGGTGCTCAAATTATAATACAAGCAACAACTACCACCAGGTTGCTGCACGCAAAGTAATCTGACACAAAAGCCATGCATAGCTAAGAGTCAGAACTGTAAGCAGTATTTGAACATTTAAAAAACAAACAAACAGAAATTTGTATTTGATGTCTACATGTTCATATTTTACCAGTCAGGATATGTTCACAGGATAGGACAAAAAAGAAATAATTTAGTAAGGTTTTCCCAAATGCTTGTCTCTTTATAACAACAGAATAGGATCCTTTCATAGGGCTCCAAAGTTTCACGGGAGCTAGGGAAGATAAAACCACTGTACTTTTATTCATTGGGTTTTAAAACAGTGTATATGTGTGTGTGTTTCCAGAGAGGGGGCCTACGGAGGAGGGAGAACTTAGGAGACAAAGAAAAAGATCTGCCTCTGTTTGGTCTTAGAAATTTAAAAAAAAAAAAAAAAGTCAGAAGTCATGGAAAGAGGTGTTTAAGATAAAAATTTAAACTTCATTAAACCATTAATGAACAACACACAATCCACAGGCTTTATTTATAGGGTTTTTGAGAGAATCCAGTACCATTAAATACATGGAAGTGTTTTGTAAATGGTATATGCTATGGAAGTCAAAGTATTAAGCTGCATTGGAACTTTGAATAAAACAGGATGCATTCATGATTAAAATTTTACATTTTAAAATCTTAACAATCAAAATTACGTTTTATGTGTGGAAAGAATTAAGACACAGTAAAACTTTTAGAGTGTATTTCTTGCATTCTTAAAAAGTATCCATGTATATGGTTAAATGAAAAAAGGAAGGTATAAAACATTACTAGTCAGCTCTTATTGTGTATTAAAAGGTGACCTATTTGATGATAACCTAGTCATCTTGATCCACAATCTAATACCCCTATTTTGAAGGCAGAAATTCTGACTTAACCATAGAGGTGCAATCAATTTTGTCAGTAACATAAATTAACAAAGGTAATTCATAAAATGCTGAAAAGGAAGACTTAGGCAGTGTCACACAGTTTTATGCATATTTCTAGGCAGAGTCCCAAACAAGCTCTGTAAAAAGGACTGAAGTCAGTACAGGAATCTCTAGAAGTAACTGATGTATTCTAGTAAAAGTAAAGTCCTAAAATTAAATGCCAAGCTCCATTTTTATCCTGATTACCATTTTAAATTGGAATTATCTCCTAGCAAAAGATGGTGGGCAAGGACAAATTATATTAAAGAGGTTTATTAGGAAAAGAATAGAAAGGACCAGCTGAACCAAGCAGAAGGGGCAGAAGGGCAGAAAAGTCTGACATTACAAAATTTATTATTTCTCTTCATATTAAAGAGTTCTGTGAGAACAATGTTACAATCTTAGAGCATAAAATCAAGTCCAATTTATACTATGATTGCCTTTTCAGTTTTTTAAAGTCAAAAATTTTTTCTTCAGGCTATTATCTATTAAGGAAGGGCAGGAAATCCAGGAACACTGACCCACAGGGGGAAAATTAAAACAAAACAAAATACAATTACTTTGGGCTATACATGTTTTTTAAAATGCATTTTGTATATTTTTAAAAGGAAAAGTATACAAGTTCCCTAACTTTAATCTATGATTTATTCAATTTTAATACAAAAAGAGGCAAATATTATTAACAAGGGAAAAAATGGAAAGGAATCAGAGAGCAAGCATAGACAGTGAAGAGCATGAGAGTAAAGCCAGTTTTAGAGGTAGTGTGAACAGTGGTGGGTACAGTGGAACTATACTGTACTGATGCCTTAAGAACCTTATGGAGAAAGGAGTTGGACTGAGGGAATAAGCAGAGAATACCTACTTAAATTTCTGAAATGCTCCCAGCCACCCATGTACAATCTGAATAGGAGATTCAATAAATGTTGCCTAAGTTGATAAATCATGAAATAATTATGAAATATAGTACAATCATATTATTAATATATAAAACTAGAACCATGGATGAAACCACTGAAGAACTAGAATCTGAAGCAATTAAGAGACTACCACAATGGGGTAGGATGGAGGGAGGAAGGAAGAGGCAGGAGAATGTTAATTTTCCTTACGAGTTCTTCCATACTGTTGGATTTGTTACCATGTGCCTGTATTGATTTTTTAAAAATAACTTTTATGCTCATAAATTAAAAGAGGCTTGACCTGTGCTAAAAAGTTCCTTTTTTTTTCTTTTGCTAATTCCATCAAAAGATTCATGTCAAAAACAGATTTGATTTTTTTTTTCTGTGTATACACACATTAGTTACGAATGATTAACAAAGCATTCATTCTTCTATTTGGTTTGGCTGAGAACCAACTTGTGTTAGTGTTAAGGAAATATTTCACTTTATATGGAGAAGATATGAAGTGTTACTTATTTAAATACACACGTGGTAAAAGAAAGGGTTTATACATGTTTTAGGCTCACAAACAATAAAAACATTTAAGTAGTTTGAAGTGTAGAGTTTTTCCACCTTTTTAGAAACTAGAAAAATGCTGAATACCTTTCTCTCTTTATCCAAAAATAGGCTTTGTGACTTATCTGTTTAGTATTTTAATTTCAGTAAGATGATAAAAAGTTTAAAGAAGATTCAATAGTAAATATGGTATAAGCAAACATGATTATTTTATCTAATTTTTAAATATAGAGACTTTTTTAAAAAACATAAATTTTGAGCAATCAGAATAAAAAGTTATATTGCAAAAGGAGTTCCTCAAATTTAGGGTATTTGAAAGTAGTACCCAAATTTAATCTGACACATAGTCACTTAAAGTGTTTTTACTTTTCACATGTACAATGATTAAAAACAATATTCAGTTTGAAGAAAAGTTTACTTAATATATGAATACATAAGAAGAGTTAGTGAGAAATGTAAAATGCTGTCTATTCTATCTTTTCATAATTTTTATAAAATCACTTTTCTAAATAAAACTATTTATCAAGCTACCAAGAAATACTAGTTGTAGCAATTTTGTTTCTCACAACACCTATTTTGATTTAAGGGTGCAGGCAGTCAAAACCAGGAATATAATTTAACCATATTGTGACTGACTTTTGAGTAGATTTTCACTAATCATGTCCACCAACACAGAGTGGAGTGAAGAAAAATAAAGATTTATAGGGGAAAATGCTGTGGATTATTTAGAAACCAGCCACTAAAGAAAAGAGAAGAAAAGGCTGGATTTGAAGTCAGTTCTCAGCTCTCTGTTTTATTCTTAAATTGCGAAGACAACAACTTATAAAGAAAGAGTTAAACAAAGGATGGAAATTAGGAGAGCAAAGATAAGAAATACTGGCCACATATGATCTGGACATTCTAAGACTTGTGTACAAAACTATATCAAGTAAGACTTCAAATCCAGGCCTTAACTTCACAGATAGTTCCTCTGACATAAAAACAGATTCCTTTTCCTCTTATTTTTCCTCCTTCTTAACACATGTTTGGCAACCATTGTTTATTTCTATTGGAGTTAAATTATACCTCTCTTGTATTTTTCCCCATTGGAGAATAAAGACACTTAGTGTTTTCCATTTCTCTTTTCTTTATTTCGTAGATCATATGCAGCATAGAGCTATTATTTACAAAATAAGAATCACTGCCAATTTAGACTTATTCTTTTTAATATCCTGAAAGGTAATAAGACCATTCCACCAAATTAAATTGAGCAATCCCAGGTGGTTCCCTTCAACTTTATTTCATTTTTACCACACACACCCCTAGTCATCACTTTCATTTTATATGATCTACTTGTTGACATATATGCACTGAAATCTACTTCCAAACTCAACGCTGAACCTAGTCACAAAAACTGTCCTTGAATCAACATGACCATTGCAAAAGACTGGGTGAATGATGGGTTTTGTATAATAATCCAAAGCCCTATAGATTTTCACTAGTTCAAGCTGTCTCTGGAGTAAATTCCAAAGTGAGAGTCACTGCAGCGGAAATGGAGGTCCCCTCAAAGCTCACACCTGCAAAGCAGTTTTGTGAGTGGTTGAAAAAAAGTCAATCATTGTGGATATGTTTAGTTAATAAACACATTGATCTTTTATACCTATCCAAAAATATCAGTTCTAAAAGCACTCATATGACCTAGGCATAAGGCATCTTTTAAAATAAGAAATGTAATAACATTAATGAATTTATGAACTTAATCTACCCTAAATGCAAACAAATAGCACCCTAAAAAAATTATACAACATGTATATGTTCGAAAGAAAAATGCTAAATTAAAATCAATTTATTGATATGATGGAATTATAGATAATTTTCCTTTTTAATATACGTAGCATTGTCATTATGTTGGCTGTGTAATAAATATTAAAATTTTTAAAGATACACTAAGTGCTAATAAAAAATAAGTCTAAAGAACAAAAAAAAAACCTATCAATTTTATTTGCATACTATTCCTGACATCTAATTCACAGAATCTGTTACAATAGATGTCTTCTTCAGTCATAAAACTAATAACACTGTAGGTAAGCAGCACTTAAATATCTCACTCTAAGTATACTGAGAGTGAAATCAATTGGATACACACCCATTTATTGGGGTATTTATAAACACATAGCATCTTGCTGGGTATTGTTTGAGTGTACAAAAAGACACACCCTTTCAAACTTTAAGTAGCAGCCTAAAATTAGCAGAGAGATACAAGACTATCACATGAAAAATTAAATAGCTGAGTAAGGTCAAATTTTTTAAAAATCCATAAATATAGTATATAAATAAGTGATGAGTTCGTTTATCAAACATCATTGAGGATCTACTATTTGTAAAGCATTCTTCTAAGTGCAGAAATCAATTATGTAGTTAGATTTCTGCCATTCCAAAACTAAACAAAAAAGACAAGATGTTTTGAAAACGAGAATATGAACCACTAATACATCTGACTCTGGGCTCACTGCCTAGGAGTTAGCCCTGCTCCACAAGAAGCAGCTATTTAAAAAGAAGAGAAAAGAAAGGCACTAATATATCTGGACTGTAGAACATTACTGGCTTAGAGGGGGAGATCTCATGTTATAGTACCATCATTCTGTAGCTCACATAACTGGAAATACATTCCCTACTATTTAAATTGGCTTAGACAGCAGCATATGTAGTACTTTAATTAACTGTATCAACTGACATACCTTAAAAGTAGATGCAGAGGTCTGAAATAACTGTAAGTAGTACTTGTAAACCAATATTAATCCAAGTTTAACCTATATATAACAAAGTGTCTAATGTTGTATCTGGATGGCAAGAAGGCTGAGTATAACACAACTGTATTCAGAAATTCTGAAACACTTTATGAGCAAACTTCTAATTAATTAGCGATATGAAGAGAACAAGTATTGCTGCTGAGTGTTATTTTTTGGCCAGGATGGAAATTTATACATTAACATTAAAAATAACCCTGTTTTAAAGCAATCTCTAGATATCTAAACTACCATTATAAATATTACTAAATAACATTTGGGCAGTATTCTTGACTAAATTATATTGCTACACTTCCTTATTTTACTAATTTGTAAATATAAAACTATATATTGTAATCATTCTATAAAGAAAACTTAAAGTAGCCTCTTACAGGTATTTAAAACATCATTAAAATTTTTCTCTTGGAAAGTTTAATCAAACTTTGTTACCTAACAAACTTGACATCATAACCTATTTTTTATTTTTAAAACTTTTAACGTCAGATATTTTTCACTCGATTACAGAATTTAAAACTTTATAATAACCATCTTTTAAAATGAAACTAAAATGTTCTTATATTATTCAAAAATGTATTTTCCAAAAATATTAGCAAAGTGTATGATTAAGTGGGATTTTAGATTTTAAAATGTAGCTAGTATATGCAGCACATGATCTGAAGCAGGGAATCACATGCATTGAACTTAAATGAATAAGCCAGATATGGCTGCTGGCTGTTTTGGTCTTATTTTCTTTAAATACTATCAAATTATCTACCTCAGTAAAACTGATGTTTATCTTAAAAACCTTTCATTACAAATGGTTTTTTTCTTTAAAAAATTCAATTTTTCTAGAACTATTTGAAGAAGCATAAAAAGCAAACATTTAAAAGCATGTTATCACATACATGTACTACTTAAAGTTGGTATATAGAACCTCAGTCTGGGAGTGAAGAAAATGAATGAAAATGAATAGTTTACCACTCATTAGCAATATGACTTTGGGCTAGTTACCAGATGATATCTTAGTTTCCTTATCTGAAAATGAGCAAGGAGAATTTTATGATTTCTAAGTTTTCTTCTAGCTCTAAATTTCTGTGATTTGATTATTTTAATCCAGAAACCCACATCTATATTGGGAAACTAGGTTTTAAGGTTATGGAATAACATAATAGTGAGTTATAACTTAAAACAACAAAAATATTACAACACTAATTTGAAATAGATTAACTGCCTGAAAGCAATGCTTTCAAGATAAAACACAAGAGACAATAATTGAATAGGGTTGTACTCATTTAATAATG
Source organism: Homo sapiens (assembly GCF_000001405.40). Classification (NCBI taxonomy): domain Eukaryota; kingdom Metazoa; phylum Chordata; class Mammalia; order Primates; family Hominidae; genus Homo; species Homo sapiens. The sequence continues at coordinate 62,790,804 of NC_000002.12, read as the reverse complement.
GTATAAACACTAACATCTACAAAACAGGATATTTCATTGATGGGTACCTCTTGTGGAAATAGTCAACTTGTCTGCAAAGCCAAAATCTATAAAGTAACAAGAGAATTACACAAAAATATTTTAGACCTTACTTTTCAAATGGAGTTCTGTTATACCGTGTATAACTTACATGTAGAAACGAAAATTATTTAAAATTAATGATTACTAAAGTTACAACACAACAAGTGTTTATAGGAGTAGAGCCTTATTTCTTTTAATAATACATAATCCTTATATAAAGTAACACTATTTTCTGTAAAGCTGTGCAGTTCTCTAAATGTTTAATGTTTAAACATGCCACCAACAAGCATCTGACTAATAAAATGCAACTTCAAATAAAGGGAAACAATTTACTTCCTATTATTATCTGATACAGGTACTGCTGGAATTCAATTTCCTTTCAAATGTGTGCTTTTTTCAAAGAACATCCAACCACCCACACATTATTTAAAAAACAAAACAAAACAAACAACAAAAAACCTTTGTGTTAGAAATTGTCCCAGAACTGTATTTTGACGTTTTTAGCAACCTGACAAACCACTCTGTTTGCTTTCTTCTGCCAATACAAATCAAGCCAAGGACTAGTTTCTTCATTTATTTCATTCAATGTCACAAGACGACATTATGTCAGGGTAAAGGTCAATCATCAAGAATGCATGCTGCTGCTACAGTGGAAATATAAATATTCACCTGGGCTTTATTTCAAAGACTGGCTCACTGAAACTATTTAATAAGGCCTATAAAACTAGGAGGATGTGGAAAAACAATGTGTAAGAAACATTTTTCTCAACAAATTATATTCGCTGACATCATATAGAAAACTAAAGGTGCTACTTCAAAAACAAGTAAGTTTTAGGTAACTGGCATCAGAAAGGGGTTTTTCCTAGTTGTTTTAACAATCTCATGTTTTTTAAAATTTGCAGGAGTGCTACCCTGCAGGCATCTGTGACAGCATCACGAGGTTTCATATTTAGTGTGGGTGGTTGGATAAAATTGGACATTGATCAGTTTTGTGTGTGCTGAAAGGCACCAGGCTGGAACACTGTATTCAGCATTGGGTATGAGACTGCCAGTGCAGTGGGTTGGAAGATGTATGCATTGGCACTCCGTGTGGAACCAGGAGCTTACTTAAAAGGTTACTGAAATCTTGACTTTGGCAGCTGTCATCTTTAAGTGATCATGAATAGTTAAGAATTAAATCCAGAGCCAGACCTCTGAAGATCAGAGGTTGTGCACGTTTGAGGCACTAACCGTCCTTTATAACATTCTGTCCTCAGAAACAGAAAGCAGGGAGTAGGCCTTTTGGTGGGTGGGTGGGTGGAGAAGTGTTACATAGTTGAGAAAGTCACATTTTTAAAACACTCAGCTAAACTTAACTCTATCAACTTTCTAGGTGGCATTTAAATTAAAACGTCAGCAGATGTAATTACGTAAATAGATGAAGCAACTTTGTAATATTTTACCAAGTTAGGAATTCCAAGGTCTTTTTCTACTACATATATATGTGTTTGTGTCTTCCTAATGTACATTCTGAACCCTTTGCCTCCAAAAACAATTTGAAATGGCTATGCAGTCTCACAGAGCACTCTTATTAATGGCAACAGCCAAAAGACTACTCCATACTATCTGTTCTTGATGACTGGGTATTATAAAGGGCCAGCAATATCTCAAACATGCACAACTTCTAGTCTCCATAGGTGTGACTCTGGATCTAAGGTTTAACTCTTCATGATCACTAAAAGAAGACAGCTGCCAAAGACAAGACATTTTCACAGGACATATGCTTTTCACAGTGACTCCTCTCATGTTCCCTACCACCAGTAAATCAAATATTTTTCCCACCAGAGCTAAAATATGGTAACACAGAATTATTCATGCACAGATGAGTGGCGTTTCATAGATTTGTGCTACAGCATCTAATACATCTAACAGGGTCACAGCATGCCTTCAACATCTGCAATTAGTAATGAAGGTACTGGAATGGTATGATCTATTAGGTGTAAATTAAATATAGGTTTCTGTTAAAGATCAAGCTTATTGGCAAACCTTCAGAAACAGGTAAGAAGAATATAAAAACAAAATTAAGTAAAATAATTTCTTAGTAATAACAGAAAATAATTGCTTTTCTTAAGTGAAAGGAGGCAAAAAAAGCCTCTTATAAATTAGTATGATAAAGTTTAAAGGAAAAATATATAGTTAAACTGGAATTTCAAGCTTCTAGATTCCAGAAACAGGGTTATTTTAAGTTTCCTAATTTTCTAGAAAATAACAACAGGGTTTTTTTTTTGGTACACAGGAAAAGTCCATAACATGAGTATTACTCAGAGTGACAGATTAATAGACATATGCAATACCCACCCCTCCACCTATACTATCAAAGTTTAGTTCTTTTAATTGGAAGAATTTGGTTTTAAGGGAAAAAACATCACAACACATACGAATTATGACTCCACTCCCTAGTGGGCAGAAGTTGGGTGATTTAAATAAGAGAAAACATACAAATATTTTATATTGGAATAGGAAAGACCACATAAACCTTTAAATATATAACATTTCATCAGCTAGCATATTTTTAAGCAATGTTAGAAAAAATTACAGAATTATTGTATAATTACAAAAACATCATTTGTCTATGAAAGAAAACAATTCTAAACCACTTAATTTAAAAGAGGCATTCTTTAAAAATCCCTTTTCCTGGCATTAAAAATAAACTGTCACTGAGAAAAAGAAAAAAATTCTCCCAAAGCCTTCTATCTAAAACACAATTCATATTTTGATGTAAAGAAACCATCCTACTCCATTCCCCCAAATCACAACCTTAAAGAGTTGCTACTTAAATATTAGCCAGTGCTCTGTGAACCATTTTATATTAAAATTGGATAGTTCTAAACACCACACATATAAAAAGTATTGTTTGACACAGTGCCATTTTGATGATAAATTGCAATCTATAGCTCAAATAATTCTACCCAGGGATTAACATTTCAGAGGCTGAGCCAGAGATTATGTGTGTGGATCTTGAATTTCATCATCTCCCTTTGGCACAATAGCTTATTCTTCCTTTTTTCATCTATTCTTTCATGAAGGGTCAGGAAAGCTTAGCCTTGCTATTGCATTCATTTCATCTCTACATTAACCAGATACCTTGCAGTCTTTAGTTCTTATGTGTTATTCCATTACAACTACTATGCTGCACTGTGCTATGGCTAATGAGGTTTGTACCAAATCAAAGGGTGCCATCAAGTGGTTATAATACTCTAAACAGCATTACACTAAATGACTATTCCAGATAGGCTTTCTTCAATATAGACAAACTTGCCACGCCTCTATGAAAGAACACATTAATGGAGCAAGGGGGTGGGGGGGGGGGGCAGCGGTGCAGTGTGGGGTGGTGCAGGAGGGGCAACAGGAGTATCCATATTAATTGTTGTTTTGTATTTTCTATCCTCAGGGATTTCTTTTCCTGCATAGTATATTTATAAAATATAACTTTAGAACCATTGTTAAAATTAGTATTTATGTCAGCAGATTATCAAATGATATTTATTAAGTATAATTCAAGCACGGCAGCAGAACTGGGAACTAAACTTTATCAGTCAAAAATCATGACTATACTGATAGGAGCTTATTTCTGAAAATAAGCAATAATAGTGCACATACTTAAAGAAAGACAGCGTCTTGTCAGATTCATTTCCTATTGCTAATGAAAACTTGCAAGGCTATGAAATACAGCCAGTAATATTTGGTTTATGTCATACAGCCATGCCTGCGGTCTAACAAGGAACATAGCAGTTAAAGTGAGAACGTATTTTCAGTTATTTAAAACTTTCAGCAGTCTACTCAACAGGCTACAGGGGTCCCTTAGAGTTTTGAAGACAGGAATCAAGAACTGCTCTTAGAAAACACACAAGATAACATGCAATTCAAAATTGCCCACTCTGCAGAGCTGGCCAAACTGCTGCTGCCTGCAACTGTCCTGTACCAGTGAAACCTAACACATAGGCTTAAAGCATCTTCATAACTATATACTTAATTCTGCTGCGGAGAAAGCAAATTATCCAAGTTCAGAAATTAAACAAGATGTGAAAAATTAAATCATAAAAGCTAACTTAATCTTTAAGATTCAAGGTGCAGTACGAACACAGTAGCAAACTCCAGGCAAAACTAAAAATCTGTATGATGACATTGATATATTTTCTACATAGCTATTGCAGATTGCCTACAAAAATATTTCTCATCCCACATTTTCTTCTAGAGCCTTACCACTTCCCAATCAAGAGGTAGAGTCTAATTCCCCTCCCCTTTGAACCACGGCAGGTTTGTGATTGGCTTACAGCTAACATAAAATGATGAAGTAACACTATGTGGCAAGGCTAGGTCAAGAAGGTGATGCAACTTACACTGGGAGAGCTAGAATAGTCATTCTTGAAGTCTTTAGCTGCCATGAAAGTAATCCAACTGCCTTGAAAAAAATCCACACTAACCCACTGAAAGAGAGGAAATGGAGAGGCCTTGATACCACATGAAATGCCAGGGTCCATCTCATGGGCTCCAGTCCTTCCTCCCCTCATGTTCTACCCCAACCACCTCAGACTACAACTGCATGAGAGATTTCAAAGCCAGAACTGCCCAGCCAAACCCTAATATGACTATAATCTGATCTATTTAACTGAATCACAAGTGGCAGAAAATTATCAAGTTCCAGCAAGCATTGCTGCACTGCTTATAACAATGTTTAGTTGGTTACATACGGGAATGCAGTAGACAACTAATGCCCACAAAGCTGGAAATACAAAATGGAACAACACGCAGAAAGGTCAGAAAAATGAGATCACTACCTCTGATGGATGAGGAAAGGATGATGTGGTTCAGAAAGAAAAAAAAAAGTTTCGTAAGTTTCATTTGGGCAAGGAGTTATATATGTCCTGGAAAAGACTGGAATGGTATTACAGTAGTTTACAGCATAAGCAGAAAGTTTAAAAATATTTTAGGGCAATCCACATAAAAACACTAGAAACCAATGTAAGAAAAAGTAGGTTGTATAAGAAAGGTGAAGGAGAATACAGGGCCTTAAAATATATATTTTAATAAGAAAAAGAAAATAAAATTTAAAGGAATCTCACTTGGAAAAAAATCACTGATATATCCAACTGCCTTCTGGATATCTTTCCCCCGCCACAACCCACTCCTACCAATTCTTCCTTTGTGTTCTCTATACTGACTAAGAGCAAATTATCTAAACATTCAAACTAGAAATCTGGAAGTCACCCTACACTCTCTGACCTCCCTTAGCCCTTGAAATGAGTCACTAAGAAGTGATTCCACTACCTTCTACACACTTCTGAATCTTTTTCGCCTCTTCTCTGTCTGCACCTGCTAAGGCCACTGTCCCAGTTCACGCCCATGACATCTGTTACTTGGATAACTGAATCAGTTGCCTATCTGATCTCAAGTCCTTCAGTTTTGCACATTTCAATTCATTCTCTATAGAAATATCTTTTTTAAACTGTGGGTTATGATCCATTAGTGGATGGTGAATTCATTTTAATGGGTTGCAAAGTCAATTAAGCGGTTTGCAAACAGCATTCTAAAACATCAGGATAGAACAGAAAATACCACAGTACATCCCACAATACTTGTAAGAGTAAGACTTGTTTCAGTTGTTCACAGGTACATATATGTGTATACTAGATCATAATATAAAATGTATTTCTTACAGCTACAGTAAAAAAAAGTTTGAAAGGTAAAAACTGATTATTTAAAAATACAAATCTGACCATATTATCACTCTGCTTAAAACTTTTCCATGCTTCCTGATAGCTTACTGGAATGATGAATCAGAATCATAGAGGGTCCAGTGGGCAAATCTATATGTTTTCATAGTCCAGAAGTGATTCTCATAGGCAGCCAAGTTTGGGATCCACAGGCTGCTAGGATAAAGTTCAAATTCCTCGGTATGGCACACAAGGCCATCCATAGTCTTACCCAAGATGAGTAAGGGCTCATGTTGATAGCTTCAACCCCTAGTACTCTCCTCACTTTGGGTATAAAGCTGTAACAATTTTATCTCTGTGCCTTTACCAAGGCTATTCCCTCTGTGCTTACCTCAGACCCCATTCTCTTCACACAATTATCTGGTGAGTGAACTTTTAAAAGTCTTTCAAGTTCATGTGGCAACTGCTCCATAAAGCCTTTCCCATGCCCCTGATAGATATGAGTACTCCTGGACGTCTTCAAGGGGCCTGCCACCTGCCTCTTTAGCATCCTCACTATATTTCGATGATTTGCTTACAGATCTGCCTCTCTGACTAGATTGAGAACTACATGCAGGTGAAACTTTGTCTTATTCATATCCCCAATGTTAGGAAGTAAATGTATAACCAATATCACAGTACCCAGGATAATGAAATCCAAAAAACAATCATTCTGTGACCCAAATTAAGTAGAACAATGGTCTCCTTTATAAAAAAATTCAATCTTTCTCTTCTTCAGTTTGAAAAGAAAAAATGTGATTTTGGAAAATATCAAAAGAGGTAGGAAACATATATTGTTAATTGCTTTGGCTGAAAAGATTTAATATAAAGTAAATACATCATGATTTTTAGTGATTTAATTAGTAGTTTTATATCCATTTCATGTCATTTGACCACTTTTCTAAATTTTTCCTAATTTTAAGGGTAAAGGGGAAATTCTTCAAAGTTATTAAGGCTGATTTATTTCTAAATTCATCCTGCCCCAGAGATCTGTGGAACTTTGAACTTGAAAGAGATGATTTAGGGTATCCAGCAGAGGAAATTTCTAAGCAGCAAAGCATTCAGGAGGAAGCAGAGCAAAACATTTGGAAAATTTACAGCCTGACAATGTGATAAAAAAGAAAACCCCATTTTCTGGGCAGAAATTCAAGCCAACTGCAGAAATTTGCATAAGTAATGAGGAGACTAATGTTAGTCACCAAGACAATGGGGAAAATGTCCCCAGTTCATGTCAGAGACCTTCACAGCAGCCCCTCCCATCACAGGCCAGGAGGCCTGGAAGGGAAAAATGGTTTCCTGAGCCAGGTCCAGGGCTCCCCTGCTGTGTGCAGCCTTGGGACTTGGTGCCCTGTGTCCCAGCCACTTGAGCAAGGGCTAAAAGGGGCCAACATACAGCTTAAGCCATTGCTTCAGAGGGTGCAAGCCCCAAGCCTTGGCAGCTTCTACGTGGTGTTGGGCCTGTGAATGCACAGAAGTCAAGAACTCAGGATTAGAAACCTCCACCTAGATTTCAGAGGATGTATACAAAGGCCTGGATGTCCAGATAGAAGTTTGCTGCAGGGGCAGAGCCCTCATGGGGAAACTCTGCTAGGGCTGTGTGGAAGGGAAGTGTCAGGTTGGAGCCCCTACACAGAGTCCCCACTGGGGCACTGCCTAGTGGAGCTGTGAGAAGAGGTCCACCATCTTTCAGACTCCAGAATGGTAGATCCACTGAGAGGTTGCACTGTGCACCTGGAAAAGCCACAGACACTAAATGACAGCCCGTGAAAGCAGCCAGGAGGGGGGCTGTACCCTGCAGAGCCACAGAGGTGGAGCTGCCCAAGTCTGTGAGTGCCACCTCTTGCATCAGCGTGACCTAGCTGTGAGATATGGCATCAAAGGAGATCATTTTGGAACTTTAAGGTTTAATGACTGCCCTGTTGGATTTTGGACTTGCATATGGCCTGTATCCCCTTTGTTTTGGTCAATTTCTCCCATTAGGAATGGGTGTATTTACCCAACGCCCACACCCCCATTGTATCTGAGAAGTAACTAACTTGCTTTTAATTTTACAGGCTCATAGGTGGAAGGGACTTGCCTTGTCTCGGATAAAACTTTGGACTTAGACTTTTGGTTAATGCTGGAATGAGTTAAGACTTTGGGGGACTGTTGGGAAGGCATGATTTTGTTTTGAAACGTGAAGACATGAGATATGGGAGGGGCCAGGGACTGAATGATATGGTTTGGCTGTGTCCCCACCCAAATCTTATCTTGAATTGTAATAATCTCCACACGTCAAGGGTAGGACCAGGTGGAGATAACTGAATTATGGGGGCAGTTTCCCCCATACTGTTCTTATGAGTTCTCAGGAGATCTGATGGTTTTACAAGGGGCTTACCCCCTTTGCTTGGCATTCATTCTGTCTCCTGCTACCCTGTGAAGAGGTGCCTTCCACTATGACTGTAAGTTTCCTGAGGCCTCCCCAGCCATACGGAACTGTGGGTCAATTAAACCTCTTTTCTTTATATTATAAATTACCCAGTCTCAGGTATGTCTTTATTAGCAGTGTGAGAACAAACCAATACAACTACTACTAGTTTTATCCGAGAAAAAAACTTACAATACAGAAAGATAGAAACTGTCAGATACCTCTAGGAATACACATAGCCATGTCTGAAAAGCTACACTTAAAACATTGTTGATAATTTCAGTCCATATTAACTGGTCTATCTCTAATCTCTATTGTACTTTTCAGCTATCATTATACATTTACCATAGTACATATCACCTTACTCTTGTCTCACACGCGTATCCCTCAAACCAAAATTAATATCTGAGTGGAGGTGTTCTCTTGTATCCTCCATAGTAGTTAATATAGCACTAGGCTCTAAATCTAGTGCCTAGGACAATAAATGTTTGATGATTGAGTGAGTGAGTAAATGGTAAAATGCATGGGTTTCAGAGTTTGAAGACATGGGTTTGAGGCCAGGCTAAGCTGCTTTCTGTGTGTTCTTGGGCGTGTCACTTAATCTCACTGAGTAAAATTATAATAACATCCACTTTAGAAATGCTTCATAAAGATGAAATATCCCATTTTATTTGAAAATGCTTTGTTTTCTCTAACAAAACATATCAAGTATCATTTATGATTTATGAAGTTATTAACTGATCAGCTGATATAGCTTATTTTTATTTTAAGAGGCAGGTGAAGCAAGATCTTAAAGTTAACATCACACTGGCCTAAGTAATTTTAGAAAGAAAAGTAACTTAACATATGGTTAAGTTATTATAACCCTAGAAAAATCAACCACTCTTTAAAAAGTGAAATATAAAAGAAAGTAATCTAGTGAACGACATGCTGTTGCACAAAGAAGCCTCTCTTGCCTCCAGACCTCTGCTCAAGCTGCTCCAGCCACCTGAATCACCCTACAAATCCAATGCAGACAACTATCAAAAGTACTTAATCTCCTATCTGAAATCTCTCATTTGGATTTTAGGAAGGAAATACAATGCCTTTACCATATATATACTACAGCACACTCCCAGTGAAGTCTGAGGCAGTCTGACTAAATAATCAAACATATTATTTTTGCAGCAAAATGAATAAACATTTACACTAAGTGGAATAAATACCACGAATAGCTTCATTTTGGGTAAGGTCAGGTTTTGCCACCAAATGAATTTGAATCAAATTTCCAAAAAAATAAAAAATTATAAACATCTTAGGTAGAGATTTTGGATTTTGAAGTTACAGAAAAAGGATTGTAAAAACTTTACTTTTTAGGGTTTCAATTTATATATCACTTTCAATAGAAAGCCTCCCCTAACCCACCAAGACTGCATTAAGTACTCTTTATATGGGAACATAAAACATCCTAAACTTAATCTTCATAGTGGTTGCCTGTTTCCCCACTCCAGACTGTAGGATACTGGAAGTCAGAGACCACACCTTTTTCACCATTACACTCTCAGTATGTAGCAAGTATCTGTCACATGATATCTATTTATTAAATACTGGTTGGATAAATAAGCAATTATGAGTAATAAGTAATCATGTGAATTTTTATACTATTGCAGTACTTGATCTGTAATGTATGATCAATGTCAATAAAGACGAATAATCTCCAAATACTGAACAGGGACAAAACTCAGAAAAACAGAACCAGAAAACAAGAACACTGTAATAGTATGAAAACAGTACTCTGTTGCTAAAAAATGGAACTTTCCCTTAAAATGTGTTAGCTAGGACATTTCACAAATTAAACTGCTATGTGAAATAAATTATCTGGCATGTAATTTTTATTCACTATTTTAACATAGAGTTTCTTGCATTACACAAAGATAAATACAGTATAGTTGACAGGCTCAAAGCATGCATGATCATTCTTAGGCATACCTCTTTTTTTAAGTGCAACAAAAGTTTCTCCATTATTTTATTTAAAGTTAAAGGATCATTTGAGAATAAAGGAGATGGGATTTTTCCTCTAGAAGCACAATCTGAAAAATTTCTGAATTAGAACAGCACATTAAATACTTAACATTAAGGGAAACTAAGGAGGAGAGATATATATATATGAAATTTCTCTGAAATGCAACCAAAGTAAGATTTAGTTAGCTAAAAATTTTTCATTTAGCTCCTAGTCATATCTATTATACCCCGCCTAATTTACAGACAGCCAGTCATCATTCCCATAATCATATACAACAGAAAGTTGACAGGATAATTAAAAGACTAAAAAAGCCTGTCTGAACCATGAGCTTCCTCCTGTTAATTCAGGAGTTTAATTCTGAGGGGGTTATAAGAGAAGCTTTGTTGCTTCTTATATAGTCAATTTTTTTTTCTTTGTAGAAACAAGAATAATATCACTTTTTAAGAATCAAGATAATATTGAATGTGCAGCCTAACAGGTCAGAGAGATCATCTAAAAGGCAGTTAAGTTAAAAAAAAATTATTTGCTGGTAGGTCACCTTTTCTGACATGCCAGTAACTCTTAACCACGTTCTTAAGCTGATGATGTTCAAGTGGACTTCATTATTTATAGAAGAAATGATATAATATCTGAAATGTACTTTAAATCTGGTAAAGCAAACAACAGAAAAGTAGAAGAATTGATGAAATAAGTTTGAAAAAAATACTGAAGATTATTGAGCCGGGAGACGTGTACTTAGAGGTTTAGTATATTATTTCTTCTATTTTTGTGCATATTTGAAAAATAACCAAAAAAGTTAAGTTGAAACTAAAAATAAAACACTGGATCTTGATTAGATTTATCCAAATTGCTACATTTGTATGAAAGACAAGATGAGCAGGGGTCCTCTATACATTGCTTTCAAATTTCCGAAATATTTAGAAATCCAAAAGGGTTTAAGACTCTGGGACTGTAAGAAAAGAACATGGTTGAGAAGTTTATACCAAAAGAATGGCCTAAAAGAGATCTAACAATACAGGGATCTTTGATTTATCATTCAAATGTATTCTGGTTAGTGCTGTGTAGAACAATACTCTCTGAGCAAGTAGCCATAAGCACATGAATTTTCTTGCCATTCAGCAAGAGTGAGAGAATTCACTTTCTTCCTTGACGAAACTGCAGTCAATAGGGTAAGGAAAGGACTGGTTTCCCTCCACACAAAGTTGAATGAACTACAGGAAAAATAAAAGTTTACTGTATATATAAATAGTATATAATACTAACAAATACAGATAAATGGGCATTACTGACTAAACCATTCTTAATTATTGGATTAATAGAAGAACAAAAAGTGGAGTATGCTGCCTAGTGGAAATTTGATTAGGTTCAAGTAAGTTAACTGGGCCACATTTCCAGAGGGGGTGGAACATTAAATGGAATGCTATAAACAGGACTATACTAAGGTAAATGCTGCCGTACCCTAAAAAGGCTGAGCCATCTCTACTGATAGTTAGATTATAAACTGACTCCATGGTGGAAGAGGGGTACTGCTAATGTTTGCGATGTGGTATTCTCATATGCACTAGACACTCTTTAGACCTTTGGAAATGTATTCTTGAAATGCTTGGGGCTGAAAAGATAATCCCAGTTTGGAGCTACAGGAGAAAGTGCAAGCTACAGTTTCTGAAAAAGATATCCAGTCTTTCCCCAGACATTGAAGTGAGATGCCTTGATTGAGGTGACACAGAAAAAAAAACAACTAAAGGAGAGAAGCAGCATTTATATACTTTTTTTCTCTGAAAGAAAAAGTAGAAGTAATTTATCAGAATTGTTATTTTGCGAGATCAAGAGATTGACTTCATTTTGGAGAAGGATTTAAACTTAAATTTAATAAGGTCAGAAACATTGTGATTTTATATTGTTTACATTGTATTATTTGAGCTATTATATCATCTCTGTTCTTGGTATAATCTTGTCAGGTGAGTTTGGTTGGGCAAGTAATCCTGTTCAACATAATCCAACAAAAGAAACAAAGCAGAGAAGCATTTACACTACTGCCTTGGATTTTTTTTTTTTTTTTTTTGACAGGGTCTCACTCTGTCGCCCAGGCTGGAGTACAGTGGCGCAATGAGAGCTCATTACAGTCTCAACCTCCCAGGCTCAACCAATCCTCTTGCCTCAGCCTCCCAAGTAGTTGGGTCTACAAGCATGCATCACCATAGCCCAGCTATTTTTTGACATTTTGTAGAGAAAAGGTCTCACTATATTATATTGCCCATGGTGGTCTTGAACTCCTGAGCTCAAGCAATACTTCCACCTCGGGCTCCCAAAGTGTTAAGATTCAGGCGTGTGCTACCAGGTCCAGCCATCTGCCTTGGAATTAACATAATTAATTTAGCCCATCGCCATTCACTTAAAAGTCTTCCGGAGGTAACATCAAACAAACAGCAATAAAAAAGGGACTAGTGGAGCCCTGGAGGAGCCGAACTTCCTATCTCATGGGTCACAGTCAGAAATAGTGGGAAAGACTGCATAGTGAATAGGTAGCACCAAGAAAACACATTTTGATACCCCACTGATCTTCACGGAGGACGAAGAACCAAGTTAATCTTATGCCTATTATTACATTCATTGGGTTAACAGTTACAAAACAAAAAGCAGATGTCTATTAATCTTTAATGGGGGAGCTCATGTTTTCTGTTGGTTTTGTTTTTCCTCTTTCAGTTACTTTTGCTATTTCTTTCCGCTACTTAGAATGCCTTTTTTGCCTAACTTCCTTTTTCCTTCAAGACTAAACTCTGTAGCCACTTCCTCCAGGAATTATTCCAACTCTGCCCTCCATTACTGTCCTGTAGTACCCTACGAACATTTTTATGTTTTTCCTTGCAGTTCTTTACCTCTCTGACACTTCACTACTTTATAAGCTTCTTGAGGACAGGTTATCTTATGTCATCAAATATAAGTTATCATTGGTTTAAAGATTATTTTATATAGCAGTCATTATTTTATATAGCAGTAAGAAAGCAAAACAAACAAACAAACAAAAAACTACCAGTTATAACTGTGGGACATCCTAGATATAAGATGATCCCAATTTCACAGAAAAAAATGTGGGAGAAAAAACCATGAATCTCAGAATCAAAATTCTGCATGTCTTAACTGACTTTGTATCTTCAATAACCACCAAATGTCTGGGCATATAGAAAATCCATATTAAAATATTGCAGAATGGTTGAATAAATTAATGAATGGATTCAATCTGATTGGTGCCTTTCATCAATATGCTTTTAATGTATTAAAATAAAACAGTGGAATCAGAAAAATAAATTTTTTTAGATTTTAAAAACCAACACCAGCTGGGTGTGGTAGCTCATGCCTGTAATCTCAACACTCTGGGAGGCCGAGGTGGGAGTACTGCTTGAGCTCAGCGGTTCAAAACAGCCTAGTCAACAAAGGGAGACTCCGTCTCTACAAAATAGAAAATTAGCAAGGTATAATGGTGTGCACCTGTAGTCTCAGCTACTGGGGAGGCTGAGGCAGGACGATCGCTTGAGCCCAGGAGTTCAAGGTTGCAGTGAGCCATGATCACAACACTGCACTCTAGCCTGGGTGACAGAGCAAGACCTTGTCTCAAATGTAAAAACAAGAAACTAAAACCTATGGATATAATTTACAAATGTAATGGTTCTGGATTTAATTGGGTAATCTAAAACACCAGGAAGAGAAAAAAAATTTTGTTTCCTAAATATAACTGTTGTGGCTTCATATTTTTAAAAAACCCTACAATGTCAACTGTCTGGATGAACAGATGTTATTCTATTACAGTAGATAAAAATGAAACATAGTGTTTTATAGTATCCATTCTTATCTACACTAATAAGTAAATGGATTGTAAATGATCCAAAAGAAATACTTGTTGTTAATCCTAGATTAAATTTATAAGGGGAAGATATCCTAAATCAAAAGATAAAAAGAAAAATATTTTAAGTTTAGTCCAAGTGAGATGTTACAAGTTGCCTTGTCATTGCTTTGAGATAACAGTAAAGTCTAGAAATCATTGAGAGGTGTAAGTGGTAGAAAGGAATGGAAAAACTAAAATCCTGCAACAATAAAATTTAGAAATCTAGTTTTCTTTCCTTTATATTCTTCTGTGTCCTCTAGAAAGGAACATTATAAAAATAGCTACTCCTTACCAAGCTAGATGCTTTACATACATTATTTCCAATCTTCAATAACCTGTGGAGTAGATATTAATACCATCATTTTATACATGACTACATGGAAGCTGTGAAATATTAAATGACTTATCTAAGGTTGCATAGCCAGTAAGTGGCAGAACCACCTCTAAAATTTCAACTCTAAAGTTTCTGGTCCAAAGAAGAAAGCTCAGACAAAACGGAGAAATCAGAAACAAGAGAACCAATAAAATGAAAATAGCATTATGTCAATTTGCACAAAGAAGCAGTAAGGTTGCCTTGAGAAAAAATATTAAGAATTCTAGTGACTGATAAATTCTAGAATTCCATTTTATAATGTCTAACAGTAGTGAAATAATTAACCCAAATAACTTCTAAACTGTATATAAACAATAATTAAAGACTACCTTCACTAATCTGATACATATATTCTTCACAGACTTACCACTACAGAAGACTGATTAAAAGCTTCCCTATGATTCTACAATTTCAAATGATCTCTTTTCATCTTTCTTATTAAGGTAGCTAGTTATTGCAGTAGGGGTTAAGGGCAAAGGCCCTGGAGAAAGACAAGACTGGATAAAATCCCAACCTGTTAGCTATATAACTGTGGGCAAGTTACTTAACCTCTCTAAACCTCACTTTCTTTACCTGTAAAATAGGGTTATATCTGACTCACACCAGAGTTATTATAATGAGCAAATGAGATAATGTGTATAAAGCATTCTATTATACATAGTACCTGGTACATAGTAAGGGTCCAATAAATTTGTTACAGTGATATATATTTGGAGACTTCTGTTTTATTGGGATATTTTATATTAAATATAACTTCACTCTTTGTTACTAATGCTACTACTGGACATTACGGTTAAAGTCTCAACATTTCTTTATTAACTGTGGGGTTGTAACACAATGTGCAAAGAAAAGAAAGGTATTACAATTCCATTCAAAGAGCATACCTTTTCAGTGTCAGGACAATATACCAACAGAATTTCTAACAAAACCGAGGTTTTACAAGACAAAGAGAAGAACTTTAGCTCTTTGAAATTCACTAATTCTTTTGCATGAAATGTGAAAGCACATTAAAATGTAAGGGAAAGTATAACATTGTAACATGTTATTGCTACATAATGATCAGCAAAAGTCAATTTCATCATTCACCACTGAGGGGAGCTATAACCTAGGAGAGGTTTATATATAGAATGCCAAGGTTATTTTAAAACTTTCCCATACCTTACAATATTCATTTCATCAACTCTCTTATTAAAATATATTTTAAATAAATTTGACAAGCATACCCCAATTCTCTTTTGGAGACTTTAGAAATAATAAGGTGGCTCATTATAACTATGTAATCATAAAGACGGGGGATCCTTATCCCTCTTCCTTTTTTCTCCATAGAGCATTTATGTAACCTACTATATATATTTAGCATACATTATGTATTTATTTTATCTAACATACTAAATCTTTCATACAGTAATTTTTATCCTCTCTCTCACACACACACATATGAGTGTAAACTACACAGCGATGAGATTTGTTAACTTGTTATCTGGTTTTTTTTGTTTTGTTTTGTTTGAGACAGGGTTTCACTTAGTCATCCAGGCTGGAGTGCAGTGTCACGATCACAGCTCACTGCAGCCTTGACCTTCTGGGCTCAAGCAATCCTCCCACCTCAGCCTCCTGAACAGTCAGGACCACAAGCATATGCCACCACGTCCAGTTAATTTTTTTTATTTTTTTGTAGACTGAGTCTCCTTTGTGTTGCCCAGGCTGGTCTTGAATCATATGTTTTATACACCACCATTTCCAATGCCTAGAACAGTATCTAGCACATAATACACGCTCAATGAATACTTAAGTGCTGAATGAATGAATACTGAATCATCTATTTAAAAGGTTAAAAATCTCTCATTAGATTATGTCAAGTAAAGCAAACTGCTAATACTTGAAAAATGCAACGTCTACTTATATCAAATTTTGGTTTAAAGAAAATGTCTAAGAACATTTCTTTCTTCCTTTCTTTTCTCTCTTTTTTTTTTTTTTCTTTTTGAGACAGAGTCTTGCTCTGTCGCTCAGGCTGGAGTGCAGTAGCACGATCTTGGCTCACTGCAACCTCTGCCTCCCAGGTTTAAGTGATTTTTCAGCCTCAGCCTCCTGAGTAGCTGGGATTACAGTCATGCACCACCATACCTGGCTAATTTTTGTATTTTTAGTAGAGACGCTGTTTCACCATGTTGGCCAGAATGGTCTCCAACTCCTGACCTCAAGTGATCCACCCGCCTTGGCCTCCCAAAGTGCTGGGATTACAGGTGTGAGAGACTATGCCCAGCCTAAGAATATTTAATCCCACAGATGGTAATACAGACAAATCTCATGAGATTGGCTTATGCAAGTTCAATAAAGTTGATCAGAAGAGCTCCTACTGTAACAGCATATGGATCCTTCACATGCTGTTTTACTGCCTCTAGGGTCTACTTTTCAAATTTTCTTCTGTATAGTTGATGGATGTTACTCACGTTATTCTTCTCTCTCTCTTTTTTTTTTTTTTTTTTTTTTTTTTTTTTTTTTTGAGATGGAGTCTTGCTGTATCACCTAGGTTGGAGTGCAGTGGCGCGATCTCGGCTCACTGCAACCTCCATCTCCCTGGTTCAAGCAATTCTCCTGCCTCAGTCTCCCGAGTAGCTGGGATTACAGGCGCACGCCACCAAGCCCAACTAATTGTTTTGTATTTTTAGTAAAGATGGGGTTTCACCATGTTGGCCAGACTGGGCTCGAACTCCCGACCTCAGGCAATCTGCCTGCCTTGGCCTCTCAAAGTGCTGGGATTACAGGTATTTTTCTCTTAAAAAGAATAATCCTTACAGGATTTATAACAGTTCACAGAGTTTAACTATACCATTCATTCACTCACTCCTTCAATAAATATTTATTGAGAAGCTACTACCCCAAAGGTAGTATGGTTTGAAAAAAAAATTGTGGTAGATACAGAGATGAATGAAATAAAACTTTTCCCTCGTTAAATCTACTTATGCAAGTAGGGGTCCTGTACACATCTCAGAAAACTGGCCTAGATTTTCCAGAGCAGGTAAAAAGAGTTAATACACCTAGACAGAGAAAAAAAAATTATTCTCAAATCTCACTATACAGGAGTTGATATTGGCAGAAAGAAATTAATGTCCTCCTGAAAACTGAAGAGGGAGATCTACCCCATTCTCGTCTATCTTCCAGGTGAGAATATAGCACTTCCTTTGTTTTGTTTGTCTCGTTTCGGTTTAATTACATAAACTCATCCTTTTGATATAGTTCATAATTTATGACAGTTGCCCTAATTTAGAGTATATAAATTAGTGTATTCTCTTGAGTTAATGTATTTCAAATGCTTTGGTCATAACATGTACATCTGTGCTCTTTCCCATGCATTAAGAATATAGCAATTTCACAATCCTTCTGAAATCTCATAACTTCATAATATGAAAGTAAATCTATAATGGACCTGATCTCACTACCAAACTTCTCAGCTCTTTAGTCCTAAACATGGCCCAGTTACTGCCAGGGAATAAACAAAAAATTCCTTTTGTCACTGAGATACATACCAAAGTCAGGCATAGAAAGGAAGAATATTACACAAAGCATGTGATAAGCCTGTTATAAAGACATTTTAGAACTTTAACAATTATCACGATGAACAGTCATGATGATGATGGCAATGGTAAAAGCTAATATTCACTGAAAATTATTTAATCTTCAAGCAACCCTATAATTGTATGACTGAGAATTTAAGAAATTTCCCAGTGATCACAGAGCTTGTAAGTAGAAGAGACAGGACTTGAAATCAGGTTTACCTGACTCCTGTCATCTGTATTATTTTCATTAGATTTCTGTGAATCTAATATATTAATAAATGTTTGGAGAGAAGGAATGTTAACATATTTTCCATTTCATCCTATGTCCACTCCCTTATTTGACAGATTTTCCAAGAATTCCAAGCCTACATTATTAATCACTATATTTGGATGGGCTGTCTTCTTTAATTCCCAGTAAATGAACATTTATTGAATACCTACTATATGCCTTCTAGTCACTTGGGATTCCACAACATGTAAATTAACTTAAGATGATTATTAAGGTACCAATCTAGGATCTCTCAACCCAAATAAACAGTTAAAGCCCCGCCCTTCCTTCCTTCCTTCTCTTTCTCTCCTTCTCTCTTTCTTCCTCCCTCCCTCCCTCCCTTCCTCCTTTCCCCCTTCCTCCCTTTCTCTCTTTCTCTCTTTTTCTTTCCTTCTTTCTCTCTCTTGCTCTCTTTCTTTCTTGATGGAGTTTCACTCTTGTCACCCAGGCTGGAGTGAAATGGCACAATCTCGGCTCACTGCAACCTCTGCCTCCCGGGTTCCAGCGATTCTCCTGCCTCAGCCTCCCAAGTAGCTGGGACTACAGATGCCCGCCATGACGCCCAGCTATTTTCTGTATTTTTAGTAGAGACAGGGTTTCACCACTTTGGCCAGGCCGGTCACAAACTCCTGATCTCAGGTGATCTGCCTACCTCAGCCTCCCAAAGTGCTGGGATACAGGCATGAGCCACCACACCCAGCCCACATACTTTATTTTTAAAGATTTCAAAGGTCATTCATGGTTCCATCCAACACATGTTTAGATGAGTATCTGCTATGTGATAAGCACTATGCTAGATGCTGACAGATAAAAAGATGAGTAAGACATGGGCTTGCCCTTAAACCCCAAACAGAATATATATATATATTTTTTATATATATAATACACATATACACACGCATACATACAAACATACATACAATTTAGTATTGAAGACTTACAGTGTTAATAAAAGCATTTCTTACAAATAATTTTGTTACTGGCTATCATTTCATTAAAAACATTCTAAAAGCTACAAATCACTATTTAATTTTCTTAAGGCAACATTTTTCCTACCACCAAAATGCCAATGTACCTTAATAATGCATATATAAAGTTGAAAATGTGAAAGGTGAAGGAATTTGCCATTAGCTTACATTTTCTATGACAAATGTCCACTCTTTGTCTTCAAATTCTTCCGCATGAGGATCCTGTAACAAAAGCAAAATATGAAATGGAATTGAAATACATGTCTTTAGTCCAATAAACCCAATTAAGAAAATACATATAGCCTTGTTTTTAGCTTTTACTAGCTTTTAAAAATGGAGAGGCAGAATAGCCTACTCTTTTCTTTTGCATTATTTTTATTATAATTTTTCTAACTTATATTTTAGGTTTGGGGTATATGTGCAGGTTTGTTACATAGGTAAACTCATGGCACAGGAGTTTGTTGTACAGATTATTTTCTCACCCAGGTACGAATTCTAGTACCCAATAGTTATTCTTCCTGCTCCTCTCCCTCC
The DNA here is from genome assembly GCF_000001405.40 of Homo sapiens. NCBI lineage: Eukaryota > Metazoa > Chordata > Mammalia > Primates > Hominidae > Homo > Homo sapiens. The sequence goes on along the minus strand of NC_000002.12, from coordinate 62,771,026 downwards.
TCCCACCCTTCACCCTTCAACTTCCCATAGGCCGCAGTGTCTGTTGTTCCCTTCTTCATGTTCATGAGTTTTCATCACTTAGCTCCCACTTATAAATGAGAACATGCAGTATTTGATTTCCTGTCCCCGCAACAGTATGTGAAGGATAATAGCCTCCAGCTCCATCCATGTTCCAGAAAAAAGCATGATCTCATTCCTTTTTATGGCCGCATAGTATTCCACTGTATACATATACAACATTTTATTTAGTCTGTCACTGATGGGCATTTAGGTTGATTCCATGTCTTTGCTACTGTGAATAGTGCTGCAATGAATTTACACATGCATGTTTCTTTATGGCAGAATGATTTATAGTCCTCTGGGTATATACCCGGTAATGGGATTGCTGGGTTGAATGGTCCTTCTGCCACTAGCTCTTTGAGGAATTGCCATACTGCTTTTCACAAAGGTTGAACTAATTTACATTCCTACCACCAGTGTATAAGTGTTCCCTTTTCTCCACAACCTTGCCAGCATGTTATTTTTTGACTTTTTAATAATAGCCACTCTGACTGGTGTGAGATGCTATCTTGTGATTTTGATTTGCATTCCTCTAATGATCACTGATGTTGAACTTTTTTTCATATGCTTGTTGGCTACATGTATGTTTTTTGAAATGTGCCTGTTCGTGTCCTTTGCCCACTTTTTAATGGGGTTGTTTTGTTTTTTTCTTGTAAATTTAAGTTCCTTAGAGATGCTGGATATTAGACCTTTGTCAGATGCACAGTTTGCAAATATTTTCTCCCATTCTGTAGGCTGTCTGTTTACTCTGTTGATAGTTCCTTTTGCTGTGCAGAAGCTCTTGTTTAATTAGATCTCATTTGTCAACTTTTGCTTTTGTTGTAATTGCTTTTGGTGGCTTTGTCATGAAATCTTTGCCAGTTCCTATGTTCAGGAAGGTATTGCCTATGTTGTCCTTCAGGGTTTCTATAGTTTTGAGTTTTACATTTAAGTCTTCAACTCATCTTGAGTTGATTTTTGTATATGGTGTAAGAAAGGGGTCCAGCTTCAGTCTTCTGCATATGGCTAGCCAGTTATTCCAGCACCATTTATTGAATAGGGAGTCTTCCTCATCGCTTTTTTTGGTCAGTTTTGCCAAAGATGAGATAGTTGCAGGTGTGTGGCCTTGTTTCTGGGTTATCTATTCTGTTCCATTAGTCTACATGCCTGCTTTTTTTTTTTTTTTTTTTTTACCAGTACCATGCTGTTTTGGTTATTATAGCCCTGCAGTATAGCTTGGAGTCAGGTAGCATGATGCTTCCAGCTTTGTTCTTTTGGCTTAGGATTGCCTTGGCTATTCAGACTTTTTGGTTTCATATGAATTTTTAAAAAGTTTTTTCAAGTTCTGTGAAGAATGTCATTGGTGGTTTGATAGGAATAGCACTGAATCTGTAAATTGCTTTGGGCAGTATGGCATTTTAATGATATTTGTTTTTCCTATTCACAAGCACTGGAATGTTTCTCCACTTGTTTGTGTCATCTCTGATTTCTTTGAGCAGTGTTTTGCAGTTTTCATCATATAGATCTTTCACCTCCCTGGTTAGCTGTATTCCTAGGTATTTTATTATTTTTGGGGCAATTATAAATGGGATTGTGTTCCTCATTTGGCTCTCGGATTGGCTTTTGTTGGTGTATAGGAATGTTAGTGATTTTTACACATTGATTTTGTATCCTAAAACTTTGCTGAAGTTATTTATCAGCTGCAGGAGCTTTTGGGCTGAGACTATGGGGTATTTTAGATTAGGATCATGTCGTCTACAAACAGGGATAAACTGACTTCCTCTCTTCCTATTTGGATGCGCTTTATTTCTTTCTCTTGCCTGATTGCTCTGGCCAGGACTTCCAACACTAAGTTAAATAGGAGTGGTGAGAAAGGGCATCCTTGTCTTGTGCCGGTTTTCAAAGGGAATGCTTCCAGCTTTTGCCCATTCGATATGATGTTGGCTGTGGTTTGTCATCGATAGCTATTATTTTGATATATGTTCCTTCAATACCTAGTTTTGAGAGTCTTTAACACAAAGGGATGTTGAATTTTATCAAAAGCCTTTTCTGCATCTATTGAGATAATCATGTGGTTTTTATCTTTAGTTCTATTTATGTAATGAATCACATTTATTGACTTGCATATGTTGAATCAACTTTGCATTCCGAGGACTAAGCTGACTTGATCGTGGTAGATTAGCTTTTTGATGTGCTGCTAGTATCAGTTTGCCAGTATTTTACTGAGGATTCTTGCATCGATGTTCATCAAGGATATTGGCCTGAAGTTTTCTTTTGTTGTGTCTCTGCCAGGTTTTGTTATTAGGATGATGCTGACCTCATAGAATGAGTTGGGAAGGAGTTTCTCCTCCTCAATTTTTTAGAATAGTTTTGGTAGGAACAGTACCAGCTATTCTTTGTATATCTGGTAGAATTTGGCTGTGAACTCATCTGGTCCTGGGCTTTTTTTGGTTGGTAGGCCATTTATTACTGATTCAATTTTGAAGCTCGTTATTGGTCCCTTTCAGGGAATCAATTTCTTCCTGGTTCACTCTTGGGAGGGTACATGTGTCCAGGAATGTATCCATCTCTTCTAGGTTTTCTAGTTTGTGTGCAAAGAGGTGTTCATAGTAGTTTCTGATGGTTATTTTCACTTATCTGAGGTCAGTGGTAACAGCCTCTTCATCATTTCTAATTGTGTTTATTTGGCTCTTCTCTCTTTTCTTATTAGTCTAGCTAGCAGCTTATCAATCTTAATTTTTTCAAAAAACCAACTTCTGTATTTGTTGATCTTTTGAATGAGTTTTCATTTTCTATTTCCCTCAGTTCAGCTCTGATTTTCGTTACTGCTTGTCTTCTGCCAGCTTTGGAGTTGATTTGTCCTTGCTTCTCTAATTCTTTCAGTTGTGATGTTAGGTTGTTAATTTGAGATTTTTCTAACTCTTGATATGGGTATTTAGTGCTTTGAATTTCCCTCTTAACACTGCCTTAGCTGTGTCCCAGTGATTCTGGTCTGTTGCATCGTTGTTCTCATTAGCTTCAAATAACTTCTTGATATCTGCCTTAATTTCATTATTTACCCCAAAGTAATTCCAGAGCATGATGTTTAATTTCCATGTAAATGCATGGTTTTGAGTGATTTTCTTAGTCTTGACTTTTTTTTTTTTTTTTTTTTGACAGAGTCTTGCTCTGCTGTCCAGGCTGCAGTGCAGGGGCATGATCTTGGTTCACTGCAACCTTCACCTCCTGGGCTCAAGCGATCCTCCCACCTCAACCTCCTGAGTAGCTGGGACTACAGGCACACACCACTGCACCCAGCTAATTTTTTGTATTTTCAAAAGAGACAGGGTTTTGCCATGTTGCCCAGGATGGTCTTGAACTCCTGAGCTCAAACGATCTCCTTGCCTCAACCTCCCACAGTGCTGGGATTACAGGAGTGAGCCACTGCACCTGGTCCGTTTTTTTTGTATTTTTTGTAGAGATGGGGTTTCACCATGTTGCCCAGGCTTGTCTTGAACTCCTTGGCTCAAGCGATCACCCACCTCAGCCTCCCAAAGTGTCGGGATTACAGACATGACCCACTGTGCCTGGTCATACCCTACTTTTATAATACTTCCATAATTTATCTAAATTATAATCATTATTTAATATTAAGAAATCCTCTATTTTATTTTTGTTGATGCATATCACTATCTTCCATCACTAACTCTACCTGATCAGAGACAGATAAACCAGTAAATGTACTATTAAGAAGCAGCTTATTAAGATATTAAATGCTAACATAAAGCCCTGCCTTCATTTTTATACCTGTATGTATCTTAAAAGTACCGCTAGCGGCAACGTTTTCTTCAGTGCAGAGGTTAAATAAACAGCTGGAATTTCAAAGCACTAAAAGGGACTTGATAATCTAGACAAAATGGCAAATCAGCGGGGCTACTGATGCCCTTCCTCTTACCTCTCCCTCATTAACCCCAGAAATACCTTAGAAACCTGAGAAAGGGTAATGGATCTTACAACCAAATGCAACCTTTTTTTTTTTTTTTTTTTTTTAATGAAGCACACTTTTGCAAGCATTTATTTGAGAAATATTTATGGGGGACTTAGTATATAAGGGATTGTAGAGATGTTACATGGATTCAAAGACAGTTGTCCTTGCCTTCAAAGACAAACACAGTAGTTCTAAATCCAAATAAATGTATGATGAATGAAATAAATGATTTTACCAGAGATTAGAAAATGACATACTACTTCTTACAAGAATGAACAAGAAAAACTTCATGAAAGAGAAAACATCTGGGCTGGGTGGGATTATATAAGATTTCCACAGATTTTAGAGTAAGTAAAGGCAAAAGGCAACAAAGTACAAGAAACAGAGAAAAGTAGTGGGGTCACATTACATGCCCATTTAACTTACTCAAGTCCACTCCATGTATCAGAAGTGAGGTAGGAATGGAGGTATCAAGAGAATGAGAGATTATCTCGATAAAGTATGCTTTTGGCTCAACATTGCACTCTAAGATTGAGCATACACGGATGGGAGATGGACTCTGATATTTCCCTACTGGGTCTCTCAGGTCCCATGTTTCTCAAAGAGAAACATCTTATTTATGATTGATTCCACTTTGGTCTACTAATGATCTTCTATTTCTATTGCCATAGTTGAGATCGTACCTAGGCTATTTCAAGATGAACGTGACTGCAGCATTCTCTCGGTCTCTCTGATCTCCATTCAATCTTGTACACAGATTAATTCTCCCAAACCACAGTTCTGACCATATGAGTACCAACTCAGATTTCTTTAACAACCCCTACAACTTATGAGATAAATTCCAAACTCCTTAGTTACTTCTTATGTCTGTTTACTCATTTTCTAGTATAATAGCATGGCAGCTGGCTGAGTTTGAGCTGTATTGAAGCAACTATTTTTATGAGTAAATTCACATAGGTAGGATAAAAACCTGCCAAAATAAGTTTCTTTGGTGGTGGTGAACAGGGAAAGGGTAGAAAGAAAAGGGAAGTGGAAAAAATATACTTAATATTTGCTTCCTCAGCTGGCTCTGCCAATAAACTGGTTTTAAGGAGAAAAAGAATTGTATATAAAGGTTGAAAGAGCTTTTCCATGATGCACTTAGGACACAGAGAGTACTACTTTAGAAAGCAAGTAATACAGTGTGATGCAATGCAGGGGAGACATCATACCATTCTCCCTGCCTATCCCTCCCCTCTCATTTTGTATTTTGAGGAATGCAGCACAGCTCCAGCACAGTTAGTATCAAAATAATAATATAAAATATTTACTGAGCAACACCATGTCCCAGTTCTTGTGCTAAGTGTTTTACTCATCATAGCAACCTATGAGATAGGTACTATCTTCACTCCCATTTAACAGAGCAGAAAAATGAAACCTAAGAGATGCAGCTTCCCACAATGCACAACTAGTGTTTAAGCTATGTTGCTGTTCCAGGTCTGTCTGACTTTTACCCACTTTGTTAATTCAGTGTAGGCACTGTGCCCCCAGGATCTAGAAAAGTACCTGGCACATAGCAAGGCTCTCAAGAATATTGGATTAATGAAGTAATGAATATATATCTTATAAATTAATAAATATTTAACAGCACCATATACATATGACATATATTAACTCTTAAAGCAATGAAATACGTTTTAAAGCACAGATAATGTATTATCCCTAAAATAATTTTTACCAAAGAATAATTTTAATGAGACCAAGAGGCACATCTTATAGGGCCAAGTCAGTAAAAAGATGTAAAATAAGCAGCAATGATGTTCATTTCCAAGGCACTTAAAAATGGTATCTCTACATAATTAACCATATTACTGAGCAGACAAAAACATTTGTAATGAGAATTGCTTCTAGCGTAATTCAATTAAGCCTTTTTTTATATCCTACTCTCCCTCTACTGTCTCCTTTCTTAGCACTGCACTAAAGAGAAAAATTAAAAATAGCTTGAAGAGCCATTGTCCTTCTCAAAATCCTAAAGGTCTTTTTAAAAAAAAATTTACTGGAAACAGCTATTTTCAATTTAACTCAAATCTCAAAAGCAGGCTAAAGAAATTAATTTTTGGTTAAATCACAGAAAAATTAAACATACTGATAACTTTCTTAAAAAGCACCTCCTCTATGAGGTGCTTTGAATTTACAACCAGCATTTTGCCTTTAAGCAGCAACACTTATAAATACTAATATCAATAAAATATTTATCAAATATCAATTTAAAACACATCTTGTTACATTAACATTAATAAGATATTTATAATATACTAATTTTAAAGCATTCTTTTATCAAACAAGGCTAACAAAATGAAGGTCAAGACTCAGAATTCCACACTCCTCAGCTTTCCACAGGGAAGGCATTTTACAGTTTTCTGTGGGTAGAGTGTAGGAAGTGGTAAAAGAACTATGTCAGCTGATCTGAATTGTAATAAGTTCAAGAAGATCCCCGACTTTATAAACCATGAAATACTGTGATTCCTTTGCATTGTTATAAATTGCTATGTCCCTAAAAATAATGCACAGTAGGTACCAGACTGGACACAAATGTATAGAACAATGAACACTGAAATATTCTGTCATTTGGTACCCTGGTTATATAATAAATTCTATAGCCTATAAAAATGGAACTTACCTTAAAAAGTGTTACAGTGATTTCAATGTTTTCAGGAACAGGCCACACAACAACACCACGATAGGGATTTTTTATTCCAGGTTGCCAGCTATGTGCCTACCAGAATAAAAATGATACCTTCAATATGAAGTATGGGAAATGCAATGTTAGTAATTTACCAGAATAAAATGATACCTTCAATATGAAGTACAGGAAATGCAATGTTAGTAATTTACAATGGTATATTGACCCTATGTAGTATCCCTGAAACAAAAATGCTTAATCAAATAAAACTTTTCAAGCATTAAGCTTGGGCCAAGATAGTTATATCATATGACAGCTACAGATTACTATCTGTAAACAAATCTTTATCCCCTCATACACACAGAAGAACATGCAAAAATGATGAAAACATGATGTCTCATGTTTTCAAAAGCTACTATCTGTTTAAAGTATTTTATTAGAAGAGATATTTTAAAAATTATTTTTGTGGACTAGGAACTTTAAGACAAATTCATACTTTAAAAGAAAAAACTAACTGTATAACTTTGCATTTAAGTTCATTTCCCACTAAACTGTAATGTTTATTTGGGGCAGATAAAGAACAGCATCAGTTTCTCCAGGTAATATTCCTAGTTACTGATAATTATAGGTATTTTTTTCCTTGTAAATCTTGATTATCAAGGTTCCCTAAGGAACCTCCACACTCCAAAATTTGGGGGTAACCACCATAGTTCTTCCTTTGTGGAACTTCTAGTCAAAGTTGAGCTAATGGAAGATGGCATGCCAAGACATCTCAACTCAACTAAGTCTTCACCTCTATTGGCTACAGGACTGTCCATGGACATGCTATGAAAATTATAATAAAAGCTAACACTTACAGAGTACTTTCTATGTGCCGGTCCATGTCTTAAGAATTTACTTATGTTAAACTCATTTAATCTACATAAGAACCTTATGATGTTCTTCTATTATTCATTCATTCATTCACTCATTTGCTTAATTGATACTATCTGCCAAGCACTGTTCTAGGCCCTGGAGGAGTGAAAAACAATCTGCCTTGGGGGAGTTTACAATACAGTAGGAAGAGAACACAAACAGAACAATTAAGAAAAATATATAATATGTTAGGTAGAGGTAAGTGCTGTAGTGAAAAAAAAGTAGGGAAGAAGAACTGGGGGTAAGAAAAGGTAATATTTTTCAATAGGGTGCTTAGAGAAGACTTCATTGAGAAGATGACACTTGAGAGAAGGCCAAAAACAAAACAAGGTAAAGGAATCACACATGTAAATGCATGAAAAGAGGTATCTAGGGAGAAAAACCAGCAACTGGAAAGGTGCTGAGGCTCTTATATAATAAAGAGGGCAATGTGGCTGGAACAGAGTGGTCAAGAGGATAGCAGTAAGACACAAGGCCAGAGAAATAAAGGAGGGTCCAATCATATAAGGCCCTGGTAGGTCATTGCAAAGATATTGACTTATATTTTGAGTGAAATGGGAAGCCACTGGAGGGTTTCAAGGAGAGGAATGACAATCTAATATATTTCAACAGGCTTATATTGGCTAATGTTTTGAGAACAGGTTCCAAACATAAGAGAGAAACAGGGAGATCAATTAAAAAGCGACTGCAATAATCCAAGGGAGATGTGATGGTTACTTGGCTTGGGGTGGTAGAAAAGTGGTACAAAGGAGCCAGATTCTGGGTATCTTTTTATATTTTCTAGGTAGAGTCCACAAGATGTGCTGCCTGATTATAAGAGACAAAGAAAGTAGCCAAGGCTGATTCTAAGGCTTCTACCTTATAGAAGAAAGGAATTGCTATTAACAGATAGGAGGCAAGACTATAGAAAGGACAGATTTGGGAAATAAGTTCAGAAGCTCCATTTCACACACATTAAATATGAGTTGCCTCTTAGATATTCAAGGGTGGATGTTCAAATAAGCAGCTGGATTACGTGTCTGGAGCTGCAAATTTGGGAACTGTCAGCATACAGGTAATATTTAAAGTTTAAGAATACAGATAATACCAAGGGAGTGAGTACAGATAAAGAATATAAAGCTCCAAAGACTAAGTCTCGGAGAAAAACATTAAACAGGTCAAGAAAATGAAGAAGCCAGCAAAGGCCCATCAGTTGAAGCAAAAGTGTGGCATCCTGAAAGTCTAGTGGTAAGAGTGTTTCAAGAAGAGAACAATCACCTGTGCCAAATGTTGATGACAAGTCAAATAGGATGAGGCCTGAAAAACGGTCACTGGGTTTAACAAAGCAGAAGCCATTAATAAGGCCAGGTACAGTGGCTGATGCCTGGAATCCCAGCTACTTGGGAGGCTGAGGTGGGAGGATAGCTTGAGCCCAGGAGTATGAGTTTGAGAAGGCATTAATAACTTTACAAGAGCAGTTTCAGTAAAGTGACGAGAACAAAGACCTGACTGGAATGAATTTAAGAAAGAATGGGAAGAAACAAATTGAAGAGAGCAAATATACTCAACTCCTCTGGGGTGTTTTGCTGAAAGGAAAAGAAACAGGTTGGCGCTAGTGGAGAAAATCGTTGCAGAAGAGAATTTTAAGAAGAGAAAAATATTTTATGCTGATGGGAAATATTCAGTTGAGAGGGAAAATCTAATGATGCAGAAGAGAGAAGGGAGAATTGCTAATGTCCTTAACAGTATACAATAAGACAGATTGATCCTTCCTGGAAGCACAGACCATTCTTCCATAATAATAGAAAAAGAAGTTACAGTATATGAGTGCAGATGCAAGTCAGGCAGCAGATTTAACAGATTGAAAAACTGAGGGACAAACTTGCCCAAGATCACACAGAAAGTAAGTAGCAGAATTTGATTTGAACCTGGGCCAAGGAACCGAGAAGGGATCAAGATTAGGTAAACTTAGGTCCATGCAAATCTTATCACATCTTACTAGTTAAAATGCCAAAAGAAGATACAGGTTTAACAGTGTACACCAAATCCAACTTATGAATTGTCAATAATTCTCCCTCTATTCTCTTTCTATTGCCACCCTGTCACAAAACTTCAGGTACAGAGATGGAAACAGAGGCTCATCACGAGACTTAGCATACCATAGTGAAAGGTACAGAACAGAGTTTTCTTGATTAAAAAACATCTCTCCAGAGATTTCTCTAGTCCCCTATTTCCATGTCTGTTGACAGCCCTAAAACAAAAACTCCACAAAGTAAACAATCTCCATTTTGAAAAGTAAATTTCTGTGCACCCTAGATAATCAATCAAAACTCCACTCTTAATACTCAATTAAAACTCCACATACTTAATTCTGAAAACTTATAACAACCTTAACTCTTATGGTTAATCAAGCTGTTTTTCTGGTCTCTTCAAGCTTCCCACAATTAAATTTTCATAGTTGTTCCATGCAATAAAAATGTTAGAAAAAGAGTGTAATCACTGAATCTTTCTAATCATCCCCAGCAGAAAAGACAAGGCTACCTATTAAATTCTCAATGAAAAATACCCATCAGAGATTTTTAGACCTGAAAATATCTTTAGATCTAATTCAGATCTGGATAAGGAAATTGAAGCAAGCAAAGAGTAAATGGTTTGCATGAACTCATACTAGCAACCAGGAGGAGAGCCCAGACTCCATGACTCACCAAACCCATATCATGCCCTGCTCTATCTCTGATTTGCATGGTAGTCAAGAAAATAGTCTTCTATCCCTTAGGACTTAATATTTCAGTGTATGACACAGTGATCAAAAGTGGGAAAAGCAGGGAATACGGAGACCGTCTAACAACTGGGCAGAGTTAGGAGATGATAGCTTCAGATAATTTCCTCAGGTATCCTAAAGCTTGGTCCTCTAAATCCTCAGTCCTGGATCAGGGAATAGTAATTAGACTGCTGAACAAACAAAAATACAATCTGCTTAACAAACTAAAATCTTTTTATTATGATTAATAAAAGGAGACATTAGTATGCTAGTTCCTAAGTTGCTAGTACACTGCTTCTTTCTTACCATTCTATCCAGGAACTCTCTCCCAACAAAAAGGTCTAACCGAGTTCTGGCTTTTTGATATTCCTTCTGGGGCTGTACAACCTGGCTGAGTTAAGACACTGTAATAGTATCAATTAGTCTAGCTAAATAGCTGACAATGAGTACAGTCAGGGCCAGCTTTCTATCGTTTAGCTAATTATTATTTACAGTTGGCCTTGAACAACACAGGTATGAACTGCACAGTTCCACTTACATGCAGATTTTTTTTCAACCAAAAGCAGACCAAAATCAGTGTGCACAAGATGCAAAACCTGCATATGTGGAGGGCTGACTTTTCACATATGCAAGTTCCACAGGGCCATCTTCAGGACTTTATGTGCAGATTTCAGTATACACAGGGGTCCTGGAACCAATCCCCCGTATATACCTAGGGACAACTGTACTAGTAGAAAGCAGAGGATCAGTAAGTTTCACCAGAGAAGAAACCAAGGACATTCAAAGTGGAAAATCTGACCAAAAAAAAATAGTGTTACTGTTTTCTAAGAATTTACTACAACTTTTACCTCAAACAGTGGTAATCTGAACCTAGAAAAAGAATGACAAGTTTAATACAGGTAACTAGAAAGAGTTATGGTAATAAATATCTAATTGTACTAACCCACAGAGACACTAATTTAGGTTTTTAAGAGGTTGATATAGGAAAAAGCACACCACTGGCTGGGCACGGTGGCTCATGCCTATAATTCCAGCACTTTGAGAGGCTGAGGCAGGTGATCACTTGAGGTCAGGAGTTTGAGACCAGTCTGGTGAACATGGTGAAACCCTGTCTCTACTGAAAATACAAAAATTAGCCGGCATAGTGGTGGGCGTCTGTAATCCCAGCTACTTGGGAGGCTGAGGCAGGCGAATCGCTTGAACCAGGGAGGTGGAGGCTACAGTGAGCCAAGATCACGCCACTGCACTCCAGCCTAGATGACAGAGCGAGACTCCATCTCAAAAAAACAAAAGAAAAAGCACACCATATTGGCAAACATCAGCACTATGAGAGCCCTGATCATTTTTCATTCTGAGTAATAGAAAGGATTTCCCTATAAAATAAGTAGGCACAGGAACACACATACAGCCATTTGGCTCCTTAGTATAGTTAGGAAAGGCAGATTATTTAATCATTTGCCAATATCCTAGTACAGCTAATGGCAGAAAAAGTTAGGATACATTATCCTGGTCCCCTTCTACAATTTTCCTCACATTTCAAGTCACATCAAAGATCCTTTGACATCTGCCAAAAACCAACTTGGAAAAAGGCAACACTTCTCAATTTTGGGTGACTCTATAAACTGTCTCATTCGCTAATTATTTCATGTCATATTCTTACCTAAAAAACGTGTACCTAGTACAGAACTAAGTACAGAGTTAGCAATCATTCGTTATTTCTGATTCCTGTAAAATTGAAATATTTCAGTGAAAATTTACAAATGCCATATAGTTTTTAAACTGACAATTTTCAATTTTTAAAACTGCATATATCCACATAAGATGTCATATATAAAGTCATCTTAGAGTTGTCAACATAACTGTCATTAGGCAAAGCTCTGCAGCTAGCTGTACTCTCCTTCTTGAAATGGTAGCACATTGCAAAGGCTGTAGCACAACCACAGAGCAAGGAAGTAAAGGTGGTAATGCCATGAAAAAAAATTGGTGAGGATTTTAAAGTTATGGTTTCTTTTTGGAATTCTCCAACCTCTCTGTGAGCCTAAATTTCTAATAAGATAACAGGATTTAGGGCAACATAACTACTCTGCCATAATTTTTCTGGTCTATCCTAACTGCCCTGATTCCAATACTGTCACATATTGTACTGAAACATAATTTATTTAAGCATATACAAATCAATTGCAGCCTGACAAAAATCTTTGTTATAAAAGCCATGACTTAAAGAGAAGAGGAAGGGAAGCTGCATATTGTGTTAACTACTCAGGGTAATTATTCTCTCAATCAAAAATTATTCTAGGATCAGATGTGGTGGATCAGGCTTGTAATCCCACACTTTGGGAGGCTGAGGCGGGCGGCTCATCTGAGGTCAGGAGTTTGAGACCAGCCTGACCAGCATGGTGAAATGCTATCTCTACTAAAAATACAAAACTTAGCCAGGTGTGGTGGTGCATGACTGTAATCCCAGCTATTCAGGAGGCTGAGGCATGAGAATTGCTTGAACCTGAAAGGTGGAGGTTGCAGAGAACCGAGATCACACCACTGCACTCCAGCCTGGGCAACAGAGTAAGACTGTCTCAAAAACAAAACAAAGATTCTATAATGAGCTCCTAGTATATTTAGCTCCAAATTCAAACACGTACCTCAAAAAAGAGTGAGCAATAAACTGAGAAGTAAATTTTTTTTTTTTTTTTTTGAGACAGAGTCTCGCTCTTTCGCCCAGGCCAGAGCGCAGTGGCGCTATCTGGGCTCACTGCAAGCTCCGCCTCCTGGGTTCACGCCATTCTCCTGCCTCAACCTCCCGAGTAGCAGGGACTACAGAAGGCGTCCTATTATTTTATTGTCTAATCAGGTAATGAACTGACCTATCTGGGTGTCAATTCTAAATTTTTAAAAATAAAAATAGATAATATACTGAGAATCAGTAAAGAAAAATAGTAAGCTACACAGATGCCAAAAAGAAATGATTATTGTAGCTGGGCATGGTGGCTTATGTCTGTAATCCCAGCACTTTGGAAGGCCAAGGCAGGTGGATCACTCGAGGTCAGGAGTTTGAGACCAGCCTGAACAACATGGTGAAAGCCCGTCTCTACTAAAAACACAAAAATTTGCCGGGAATTGTGGCGTATGTCTGTAATCCCAGCTACTCGGGAGACTAAGGCAGGAGAATTGCATGAACCCAGGAAGCGGAGGTTGCAGTGCGCCGAGATCATCCCACTGCACTCCAGCCTGGGCGACAGAGCAAGAGCAAGACTCTGCCTCAAAAAAAAAAAAAAAAAAAGAAAAAAAAAAGAAAGAAAGAAATGATTATCATGTAGTTCAAACTCTTTCTAAAACATAGTACAAAGTAAAAACTAGAATATATTCTGCTAGCTGCGCAACATGGTAAATCCCATCTCTACAAAAAAACAAAAAATTAGCCCAGCATGGTGGTGCACGCCTCTCCAGCTGCCTGGGAGGCTGAGGTCAGAGGATCACCTGAGCCCAGGGATGTCAAGGCTGCAGTGCTGTGATCATACCACTGCACTCTAGCCTGGGCAACAAGTAAGATCCTGTCTTAAAATATATATATATTTTCTGACCAACAGTTGCAGAGATTTGTTCCTCCTATGTGAGTTCAGTGGTACTTAGCAGCAAGTAACGTATATTTTAAAGGAAAAGCATCAGAAAACAGAAAGGTCTTTCACAATAAAAAGTGGTTCTAGTCTTTAGATTTAACGTAACTGATACCTAACTTAGCAGCTGGAAACAAATGTTTTTCAATCATTCTGAAATGTCATGGATCTCACTCTCAAGATTTCTTTTTCAGTTGCTTAACTTTTATAATAATATAATCATTTCCTTCATAGTTTCTGGAACTTATTTTTATTTCCCTATTTAGCTTATTATGTACAATTTATAAAACAGCATTTTCTGTCTTTTTTTTTTTTTTTTTTTTTGAGATAGAGTTCTACTTTTGCTGCCCAGGCTGGAGTGCAATGGCACGATCTCAGCTCATTGCAACCTCCACCACCCGGGTTCAAGCTATTCTCCTGCCTCAGCGCCCGCGTAGCTGGGATTACAAGCATGTGCCACCACTTCCAGCTCATTTTGTATTTTTAGTAGAGATGAGGTTTCACCATGTTGGTCAGGCTGGTCTAGAACTCCTGACCCTCAGGTGATCCACTTGCCTCGGACTCCCAAAGTGCTGGGATTACAGGCATGAGCCAACACGCGCAGCCTAAAACAGCATTTTCATAAATACATGAACATACTGCATCATACTAACTTTTCACAAGAAGTACATCTGTGTTTCAAGAGAAATCACAATGATTCTAACGTATTCAGGAAAGATTTTAAAATGTTAAGAGCATTACAAACGGAAAATTCATCCAACAATAAGTAATTTCTTCTACAAAATACTATATTCTATGAAAATCAACCTGTAGCCTCATATGTTTGCATTCTGGATTCAAACAATGTTTGATACAATATGAAAAAGAATCTGGACCTCACAGAGAAATTATTTGACTAACTTTTCAATCTTTTCAATGTAAATGCAATGAAATAAAAAAGAATATCAAACATCAAATATAGGTATTCTTTTTTTTTTTTTTTGTAGAGAGGGGGTTTCACCATGTCGCCCATGCCGGTCTCAAACTCTTGGACTCCAGTAATCCATCTGCCTCAGCCTTCCAAAGTGCTAGGGTTACAGGCGTGAAGCACCACAACCAGCCAGGGTATTCTTAATTGACCTATAATCTAACGCATTTCCTTATGTTTCTCATTTTCTCTTAGACAATAATTGCTATCTAATTTTTTTTCAAGCCCTGAATGTGGCATTCAAGCTAATTATTAAAAGAGATAAATTGTTTTTTGTTGATAACTAAAAACATTTAGAGGCTATTTCTAAAATTTATAGGTCTAGTCATATTCACCTATTATACTTAGTGGATAAACTTATATTGGTCCTTCCCACAAAAGCTTATATTGACCAACAAATGTTATGTTTCTTTTTAAAACCCCTTCTCATATGTTAATGGTAAGAAGGCATTCAAATTATAATGCTCTCAAACTATAAACATATGCTTTAAAGATGCTGCTGCTCAGGATGTGAGGCCACTGAAACTCTTCAATATTGCTGGTGAGAGTGCGTGGCAATTTCTTACAAGTTAAAAATGAACCTACCCTATTACCTGGTTATGCCTTTCCTTGGGATATGCCCAAGATAAAAAAATACTTTTCCCCAAAGACACTTGTACAATAATGTCTATAGCAGCTTTATTCACAAGAGTAAAAAACTGGAAAAAAAAAACAAATGTTCATCAACACAGGAAGAGATAATCATATTGTAGTATATTTGCATGGAGGAATACTACTTAGCAATAAACAAATAAACTACCAAAACACAAAACACCATGAACAAATCTCAAAAACGTTATGTCAAGCGAAACAAGCCTGACTGTACTACTGTACTATTTTACATGAAACTCAAGAACAAGCAACACTAGTCTTATGGTAACAGAAAATCAAAACAGTGTTCACCTCTGAGGGTTGGGAACTGCCTAGAAGAGGAACAAAAGAAAAAAGTGGGGGTGGTTACAAGATGGCCAAATAGGAACAGCTCCAGTCTACAGCTCCCAGCGTTGAGCGATGCAGAAGACAGGTGATTTCTGCATTTCCAACTGAGGTACCGGGTTCATCTTACTGGGGCTTGTCGGACAGTGGGTGCAGGACAGTGGGTGCAGCCCATCGAGCATGAGCCGAAGCAGGGCAAGGCATTGCCTCACCCGGGAAGTGCAAGGTGTCAGGGAATTCCCTTTCCTAGCCAAGGAAAGCTGTGACAGACAGCACCTGGAAAATCGGGTCACTCCCACCCTCATACTGCGCTTTCCCAACAATCTTAGCAAACGGCACACCAGGAGATTATATCCCGCTCCTGGCTCGGAGGGTCCCACGCCCACAGAGCCCTGCCCATTGCTAGTACAGCAGTCGGAGATTGAACTGCAAGGCAGCAGCAAGGCTGCGGGAGGGGCACCCACCATTGCTGAGGCTTGAGTAGACAGAGCAGTCAGGAAGCTCGAACTGGGTGGAGCCCACCGCAGCTCAAGGAGGCCTGCCTGCCTCTGTAGACTCCACCTCTGGAGGCAGGGCATAGCTGAACAAAAGGCAGCAGAAACCTCTGCAGACTTAAATGTCCCTGTCTGACAGCTTTGAAGAGAGTAGTGGTTCTCCTAGCAGGGAGTTTGAGATCTGAGAACAGACAGACTGCCTCCTCAAGTGGGTCCCTAAACCCCGAGTAGCCTAACTGGGAGGCACCCCCCAGTAGAGGCAGACTGAAACCTCACACGGCCAGGTACCCCTCTGAGATGAGGCTTCCAGAGGAAAGATCAGGCAGCAACATTTGCTGTTCAGCAACATTTGCTGTTCTGCAGCCTTCACTGGTGATACCCAGGCAACAGGGTCTGGAGTGGACCTCCAGCAAACTCCAACAGACCTACAGCTGAGGGTCCTGACTGTTAGATGGGAAACTAACAAACAGAAAGGACATCCACAACAAAACCCCATCTGTATGTCACCATCATCAAAGACCGAAGGTAGATAAAACCACAAAGATGGGGAAAAAACAGAGCAGAAGAGCTGAAAATTCTAAAAATCAGAGCACCTCTCCCCCTCCAAAGGAACGGAGCTCCTCGCCAGCAACGAAACAAACCTGGACGGATCATGACATTGACAAGTTGAGAGAAGAAGGCTTCAGACGATCAAACTTCTCCAAGCTAAAGGAGGAAGTTCGAACCCATCGCAAAGGAGCTAAAAACTTTGAAGAAAGATTAGACGAATGTCTAACTAGAATAACCAGTGTAGAGGACTCTTTAAATGACCAGATGGAGCTGAAAACCATGGCATGAGAACTACGTGACAAATGCACAAGCTTCAGTAGCCGATTCAATCAACTGGAAGAAAGGGTATCAGTGATTGCAGGTCAATTGAATGAAATGAAGTGAGAAGTTTAGAGAAAAAAGAACAAAAAGAAACAAAGCCTCCAACAAATACGGGACTATGTGAAAAGACCAAATCTACGTCTGATTGGTGTACCTGAGAGTGACAGGGAGAATGGAACCAAGTTGGAAAACACTCTCCAGGATATTAACCAGGAGAACTGCCCCAACCTAGCAAGGCAGGCCAACATTCAAATTCAGGAAATACAGAGAACGCCACAAAGACACTCCTCAAGAAGAGCAACTCCAAGACATATAATTGTCAGACTCACCAAAGTTGAAATAAAGGAAAAAATGTTAAGGGCAGCCACAGAGAAAGGTCGGGTTACCCACAAAGGGAAGCCCATCAGACTAATAGCAGATCTCTCGGCAGAAACTCTACAAGCCAGAAGAGAGTGGGGGCCAATATTCAACATTCTTAAAGAAAAGAATTTTCAACCCAGAATTTCATATCCAGCCAAACTAAGCTTCATAAGTGAAGGAGAAATAAAATACTTTACAGACAAGCAAATGCTGAGAGATTTTGTCACCATCAGGCCTGCCCTACAAGAGCTCATGAAGGAAGCACTAAACATACAAAGGAACAACCAGTACCAGCCACTGTAAAAACATGCCAAATTGTAAAGACCATCGATGCTAGGAAGAAACTGCATCAACTAACGAGCAAAATAACCAGCTAACATCATAATGACAGGATCAAATTCACACATAACAATATTAACCTTAAATGTAAATGGGCTAAATACTTCAATTGAAAGAAACAAACTGGCAATTTGGATAAAGAGTCAAGACCCATCAGTGCGCTGTATTCAGGAAACCCATCTCACGTGCAGAGACACACATAGGCTCAAAATAAAGGGATGGAGGAAGATCTACCAAGCAAATGGAAAATAAAAAAAGGCAAGGGTTGCAATCCAGGTCTCTGATAAAACACACTTTAAACAAAGTGTGATAAAACACACTTTAAACAAAGACCAAAAGAGACAAAGAAGGCCATTACATAATGGTAAAGGGATCAATTCAACAAGAAGAGCTAACTATCTTAAATATATATGCACCCAGTACAGGAGCACCCGGATTCATAAAGCAAGTCCTTAGAGACCTACAAAGAGACTTAGACTCCCACACAATAATAATGGGAGACTTCAACACCCCACTGTCAACATTAGACAGATCAACGAGACAGAAAGTTAACAAGGATATCCAGGAACTGAACTCAGCTCTGCACCAAGCAGACCTAATAGACATCTATAGAACTCTCCACCCCAGATCAACAGAATATACATTCTTCTCAGCACCACACCACACTTACTCCAAAATTAACCACACAGTTGGAAGTAAAGCACTCCTCAGCAAATGTAAAAGAACAGAAATTAAAACAGTCTCTCAGACCACAGTGCAATCAAACTAGAACTCAGGATTAAGAACCTCACTCAAAACCGCTCAACTACATGGAAACTGAACAACCTGCTCCTGAATGGCTACTGGGTACGTAACGAAATGAAGGCAGAAATAAAGATGTTCTTTGAAACCAATGAGAACAAACACATAACATACCAGAATCTCTGGGACACATTCAAAGCAGTGTGTAGAGGGAAATTTCTAGCACTAAATACCACAAGAGAAAGCAGGAAAGATCTAAAACTGACACCCTAACATCACAATTAAAAGAACTAGAGAAGCAAGAGCAAACACATTCAAAAGCTAGCAGAAGGCAAGAAATAACTAAGATCAGAGAAGAACTGAAGGAGATAGAGACACAAAAAACCCTTCAAAAAAAAAATGAATCCAGGAGCTGGTTTTTTGAAAAGATCAACAAAATTGATAGACCGCTAGCAAGACTAATAAAGAAGAAAAGAGAGAAGAATGAAACAGACACAATACAAATGATAAAGGGGATATCACCACCGATCCCATAAAAATACAAACTACCATCAGAGAATACTATAAACACCTCTACACAAATAAACTAGAAAATCTAGAAGAAATGCATAAATTCCTGGACACATACACCCTCCGAAGCCTAAACCAGGAAGAAGCTGAATCTCTGAATAGACCAATAACAGGCTCTGAAATTGAGGCAATAATTAATAGCTTACCAACCAAAAAAAGTCGAGGACCAGATGGATTCACAGCCGAATTCTACCGGAGGTACAAGGAGGAGCTGGTACTATTCCTTCTGAAACTATTCCAATCAATAGAAAAAGAGGAAATCCTCCCTAACTCACTTTATGAGGCCAGCATCATCCTGATACCAAAGCCTGGCACAGACACAGCAAAAAAAGAGAATTTTGGACCAATATCCCTGATGAACATCCATGCAAAAATCCTCAATAAAATACTGGCAAACCAAATCCAGCAGCACATCAAAAAGCTTATCCACCATGATCAAGTGGGCTTCATCCCTGGAATGCAAGGCTGTTTCAACATACGAAAATCAATAAATGTAATCCAGCATATAAACAGAACCAAAGACAAAAACCACATGATTATCTCAATAGATGCAGAAAAGGCCTTCGACAAAATTCAACAGCCCTTCATGCTAAAAACTCTCAATAAATTCGGTATTGATGGGACGTATCTCAAAATAATAAAAGCTATTTATGACAAACCCACAGCCAATATCATACTGAATGGGCAAAAACTGGAAGCATTCCCTTTCAAAATTCACACAAGACAGGGATGCCCTCTCTCACCACTCCTATTCAACATAGTGTTGGAAGTTCTGGCTAGGGCAATCAGGCAAGAGAAAGAAATAAAGGTATTCGATTAGGAAAAGAGGAAGTAAAATTGTCCCTGTTTGCAGATGACATGATTGTATATTTAGAAAACCCCATTTGTCTCAGCCCAAAATCTCCTTAAGCTAATAAGCAACTTCAGCAAAGTCTCAGGACACAAAATCAATGCGCAAAAATCACAAGCATTCTTATACACCAATAACAGACAAACAGAGAGCCAAATCATGAGGGAACTCCCATTCACAATTGCTTCAAAGAGAATAAAACACCTAGGAATCCAACTTACAAGGGATGTGAAGGACTTCTTCAAGGAGAACTACAAACCACTGCTCAGCGAAATAAAAGAGGACACAAACAAATGCAAGAACATTCCACGCTCATGGATAGGAATAATGAATATCATGAAAATGGCCATACTGCCCAAGGTAATTTATAGATTCAATGCCATCCCATCAAGCTACCAATGACTTTCTTCACAGAATTGGAAAAAACTACTTTAAAGTTCATATGGAACCAAAAAAGAGCCTGCATTGCCAAGACAATCCTAAGCCAAAAGAACAAAGCTGGAGGCATCATGCTACCTGACTTCAAACTATACTACAAGGCTACAGTAACCAAAACAGCATGGTACTGGTACCAAAACAGAGATATAGATCAATAGAACAGAACAGAGCCCTCAGAAATAATACCACACATCTACAACCATAAGATCTTCGACAAACCTAACAAAAACAAGAAATGGGGAAAGGACTCCCTATTTAATAATTGGTGCTGGGAAAAGTGGCTAGCCATAGGTAGAAAGCTGAAACTGGATCCCTTCCTTACACCTTATATAAAAATTAATTCAAGATGGATTAAAGACTTAAATGTTAGACCTAAAACCATAAAAACCCTAGAAGAAAACCCAGGCAATACCATTCAAGACACAGGCATGGGCAAGGACTTCATGTCTAAAACACCAAAAGCAATGGCAACAAAAGACAAAATTGACAAATGGTACTTAATTAAACTAAAGAGCTTCTGCACAGCAAAAGAAACCACCATGAGAGTGAACAGACAACCTACAGAATGGAAGAAAATTTTTGCAACCTACTTATCTGACAAAAGGCTAATATCCAGAATCTACAAAGAACTCAAACAAATTTACAAGAATAAAACAAACAACTCCATCAACAAGTGGGCAAAGGATATGAACAGACACTTCTCAAAAGAAGACATTTATGCAGCCAAAAGACACATGAAAAAATGCTCATCATCACTGGCCATCAGAGAAATGCAAATCAAAACCACAATGAGATACCATCTCACACCAGTTAGAATGGCAATCATTAAAAAGTCAGGAAACAGGTGCTGGAGAGGATGTGGAGAAATAGGAACACTTTTACACTGTTGGTAGGACTGTAAACTAGTTCAACCATTGTGGAAGTCAGTGTGGCGATTCCTCAAGGATCTAGAACTAGAAATACCATTTGACCCAGCCATCCCATTACTGGGTATATACCCAAAGCATTATAAATCATGCTGCTATAAAGACACATGCACATGTATGTTTACTGCAGCACTATTCACAATAGCAAAGACTTGGAACCAACCCAAATGTCCATTAATGATAGACTGGATTAAGAAAATGTGGCACATAGACACCATGGAATACTATGCGGCCATAAAAAAGGATGAGTTCATGTCCTTTGAAGGGACATGGATGAAGCTGGAAACCATCACTCTCAGCAAACTATCTTAAGGACAAAAAACCAAACACTGCATGTTCTCACTCATAAGTGGGAATTGAACAATGAGAACACTTGGACACAGGAAGGGGAACATCACACACAGGGGGCCTGTTGTGGGGTGGGGGGATGGGGAAGGGATAGCATTAGGAGATATACCTAATATAAATGACGAGTTAATGGGTGCAGCACACCAACATGGCACATGTATACATATGTAACAAACCTGCACGTTGTGCACATGTACCCTAGAACTTAAAAGTATAATAAAATAAAAAAGAAAAAAGTGATTAAAACAGTCTGTATCTTTACAGAAGTGGTAATTATACAAGTATACATATTGATCAAATCTTACTGAATTATAAAATTAAGATCTGTGTATTACACATATGTAAGTTTTAGCTCAATAAAAATAAAAGACTTGAAAAGAGGCCCTAAATAAAAAATTTTAAATACAGAAAATTGTAGGATTTCAATTAAAACTAATAAAGTTTTCTTTATACAGGTCTACTTGTAGAAAAACCAACATTCAATAAACATTCTTGTGGTCATTGTATACTAATAAAAAATATAGTCACATTTATTTTAGAACAGAATTTTGTTTTTAGAGACAGTCTCACTCTGTCACCCAGGCTGGAGGGCAGTGGCACAATCTTAGCTCAATAAAGCTTCAAACTCCTGGGCTCAAGCAATCCTCTCATCTCAACCTCTTCAGTAGCTGGGACTACAGGTGCATCACCACACTTGGCTAATTTTGTTTTTGTTTTTGTTTTTGTAGATATGGGGTCTCACTATGTTTCCCAGGCTGGTCTTAAATTCCTAGCCTCAAGCGATCCTCCTGCCTTGGCCTCCCAAAGTGCCAGGATTACAGGCGTAAGGATAGAATCTGGCCAGGATAGAATTTTTTAAATATCTGTAGAACTGTTATTGAATATTATAAAATTCGGTTCCACTCCCCACAAACAAAATTATCAGTACCAAAAGAAATTAAAATCTTTGAAAAATCCAACTCCTCTTCTGCACCCCAGCAACAGACTCAGATAACTCGTAACTTCTTAAGTGTGCCCTAACTTCGTCATCTTGTAATCTAAATAAATTAATCTTAGGTACAATTTTGTAAGTGGTACCTGTTTAATCATTAATTCTTAACACTGTAGTACAGAGAAGTAACTTAACTATTATGTTATTCAAGGCTACTGTCTCAGTCCATTTGTGTTGGTGTAACAACATGCCGCAGACTGAGTAATAAATAAAGAGCAGAAATCTATTTTCTCACAGTTCTAAGGGCTAGAAGTTCAAGATCAAGGCATCGGCATCTGGTGAGGGCCTTCTTAGTGCATCCTCATGTGGCAGAAGGCAGAGGGCAAAAAGGAAACAAACTCCCTCTATCAAGTCCTTTTATAAGGATGCCTAATTGAATTCACAAGGGAGAAGTCCTTACCCTAATCACTTCTTAAAGGCCCCCCACCTCCTTATATTAGGTTGGTGCAAAAGTAACTGCAGTTTTTGCTATTACTTTTAAGGCAAAACCGCAATTACTTTTGCACCAACCTATTCTATTACATTGGCAACACCTGATTTTTTTCAAACCATAGTAATTACCAAATCCAAGACCAAAACTCAGGTATCTGGCTCCCGTTTTGAGAACAAGCAGTTAAAAGATTATAGCATCTGATCAATCCATTTTCAGTAGACAATCAAGAAAAAAAAACAAAACATCAAGTAATATTTTAAAATATTCTACACTGGAACCAGAGCAGTTTGCTAATTTGTATTCAACAATTAGGTAAGAAATTTAGAAAATACACTAACCTTAGAAGACTTCCTTCGGCTTCTTCTGGTCCAAACTACCACCAGTTTATCTGGTTGCCTGCCAAACAAAAAAAAAGTTAAACATAATTTATCTTAAATAAATAAAGTTTCATTTTAGCGCCTTTAAAAGGGCAAAAATGTCATCTGCTTTAGGCTACATAAAGCAGCTACTGTTACAATAAAGCTCTATCAAATATAGTAGATGTTAACTACAGATGTGACCTAATTTGCATAACTAATATTTCCTCCATGTCCTTTTCCAACAATACTTTAGCAAGTTAAATCACAGGGACAAACCAAGTAAAATAAAATATTTAGAACTGGTCTATTTTAAAAAGAAAAAAAGCACACACATATCTTCTCCATAAATTAACACCATACTTCTAACACATTATTCCCTTTAATGTGAAGTAAACAAGCATAAAAAGGGCACTTGCAAAATAATTTAAATCTATGAATTCACTACTTTTGCATCTCTGTATCTCATGAACAATGCTTGTGGTTTTTAAAACATTATTATAGCCAATCATCTCAATCTTCATTAAAAACAATACGGTACTGAAAAAATAGGCAAGGTATATACTATTATCCCTATTTTAGTTAAGCTTAAAAGACTATTAAGTTAAATAATCAAAAGCTCTGGCAGAACCAAGACTGAAATACAGGTCTTCTAATCTCAGATTTCTCTTCTCTATCTTCCACTAATATAAAGTCAAACAAAAATAATACATTTTCAGGTAAAATTAGGTTCGTGCAAAAGTAACTGTGGTTTTTCCCATTCCTTTTAACGACTAAAACCGCAATTACTTCTGCATCAACCTAATATAACTAAGTTCTCTTTTGTTCTTATGAAAAACATCAAGATTATGATTATCACTTATTTTACTTAAATTTTCATTTTAAAAAATCTTAGATAAAAGCTTCTTAACCAAGAAATGAAAGTCATACTCATCTTGTTGACCTTCACCACTTTCTATGTCCTGTTCATTTTACACTGGAATCCCGTGCTTTCAGCAGATAACCTTTCCTCCTATTTCATTTAATTAAATACATATATATATATACACACACATAAGAGGCCTCCAGCCTTAAACTCCTCACTCAGCGATCCACCTACAAACCTATACTGCTATCTAGAGAGAGTTATACCAATGGAAAAACAAACAACCGTTAAAAGAAAAACAAAAAAAACACCTTGTTCAACACAGAAACCTGCACTAGGACAATTCCAGTGAGTAAGAATGGAGTGCGGTATAACAACATGATAGATGGGGTTGGGAAGAAGGTATGATCTATGATGGCAAGTTAACAAGAGGAGAACAGTAGCCAACAAATGTAAGCTACCTCATTTGAAAACATTGATGGCTTGCCAGAACATTTTACCTAGATTACTGCACTAACCTCTTCACTTATGCTCTCATCTCCACAGCTCCAGCACAATTTCAACTCTGAAATTATATTTCGACAGTACTTTTATAGAAATGCTATCTTACAGTTTTTCCTTGTTTATCATCCTATGCTGGGCTCTTAAATTGAAGGTACCACCAACTGGCCCTTGCAGGTTGAATTTTACAGGTTTACTTGACTGAAAGAGTATTCTATTTTATTTTAAACTTAAACTCTTTTAAAAAGTTCTTATTTAAATGCCTTTAAACAAGGCCTATGCTGTCCAGATTAGGAGAGCCTCCAACACTACCAACTGCTTCACACCTGACCAGCTTCACTCCTTAAAATGATCTATCTAGACCCTATGTGCATTTGGCCCTGTGACACCCTTGTTTCTCAACACGGCTTGTAAGGCATTTCACTCACCACTTGACTCTGATCTATCTCTCTAGCTGTATAACCTGCAAATATCTCATAGGCATCTTGCTCTATAACCAACCCCTGAACACATATTTCTTCATTTCTTCACATCTTTGCAATGTTACAATGTTTAAAAAAACACACACACAAAAAAACTTCCTCTTCCATTTTTCTACCTAGTAAACCCCTAATTTATCACTTTCTCTGTGTAACCCTGACCATTTCTCATGTCATCTCCTGCCCCATCCCCTCCCACCCATTCCATATTCTAAGCCTCAGAGTTAATTACACCTGTGTTCCCAATAACAACCTAGACACACCTATTTTCTATTTTAATACTCTATACACCTTGCATTGTAAGTATTTATTATTTCTGTCTCTCACACTAGACTGCACTATTTTATCAACCACGTCTTATTTATCTTTGTAATCCTACCAACTAATAATCTAGTACAAGGTTGAGGTTCAATGAATATGCGGCACTGAATAAACCTTAAGTTTCATCCAGGAACTCCCAATTGGTTAATTATAATTGATGAGGTCCAACTGAAGCCAGTAGCTATATAATACATCATCTCTGCAACTCATCCAAGCTTTGCAGGGATCCTTATTCTTGCTGCACATTAAAATAAAAACTCTAGGGAAGCGTTTCTAAATACTGATACCTAGGTTCCAGCCCTGGATAATCTGATTTAATTGGTCTGGTGTGCAGTTTTTTAAATTTCACAGGTGACTCTAATGTGCAGCCAAGGCTGACAACCACTGTTTGACTTGAAAGTCTAGTGAGGCATTACCTGTGATGGCAATGAGAGTGTGTCCCCTACACAACATCCTCCTAGTGCCACCTGAACTGTTGCCTCATTCTAATGCTTAGCACCCTCCTGCCACTTAACGCATCTCAGTGCTTCAGAAAATGAAAGCTTTTTAGCATAAAAAAGCAAGAAGGGCGGTCTCCTAAGCTGTATATATGCCTGATGTTCCAAGAATGTAAATAGATCAAAAGTCACTTATTTATGAATGCCCCCAAAGATGGCTAAACATTTTTGTGATTTTAAGTCATGTTAACATTTTAAATATCTTCACTAGAAATCAGTCGACTATTTAATTATCGGGAACAAACTGAGGCAGTGTTCTAAAATAAAGAACTGCTGTGGGTTATTCTTCTCAATAGAAGGGCACCAAGAACCACATCACTGGCTGTCCACAATTAATATTTTAAGCATTCATGCTACACTAGAAAAGAACCATTAAATATTTACTTATATACTCCCAAGAGACCACAGACAGGACAGTTATGAGCGTTTTCTCCAACTACCAATAAACCTACAATTATACAACTTCCTATAAAAAAAGTCAAGAAAACCTGATAGACAGGGTTTCAGAGAGAATTCAACAACTACATATTTAACATCTCTATCCCATCACTTCAGTTTAGTTAGTAGGTAACCCTATATATGATACACATTTTTATATATTACATGTAAACATTTTATGGACATACACATAAAATGTATGCACAGTCACACTTCCTGTGAAATCTGTCTAAAGGGCTCCATTGGAAAATTTGAGGCCTTTTGGTTGGCTTGTTCAAGGAAGGAAATTGTGCATTTAAAAATAAAGATTTAACACCTTCTATCCTATCTCCAAAGCCATTAAAAAGGAACATCTTAAATCTGAAGACGGCATGCTTTGTCTCATATTGTGCTCCTGACGTCAAATTCTGGAAAGGAAGAAAGAGGCTAGGAAAAAGGACAGGAGACAGCAGTGAGGAAGAGCACAGAGGACTGAAGTGGAGAAGAGAGGAGAAGCTAAAAGGAGAGCTACAATATTCAGATTATAAAGCAATTAGCTTGAGCTTTCCCTGGCATGCAACTAAGGCATGCCCTCCTCTTCACCACTAAGTGAGCTACTGTGTATGAAAACTAAGTTTAAAGAAAAACATTTCTGGCTTAAATTTTAACTCCTTTACTCTTTTCCACTCTCTGATTATGACACATGTGTGAGGTGAAACTTTAAAAGCCATGAGAAAAACCCGAAACTATCACATGAAAATCAGTCCCATCACTTTCCATAATCATAATAAGCATTCGACAAATATTTTACTGAATGCCTACTATGTTCCTGACACCATGCTGAGCAATGGAGATACAAGGATGAAAGAAAGATCCACTGGAAGTTCACAATCTAGTGGGGAGACAGACCATTAAACCAACTACCCTAGTCCAGGCACAACCTTGGAGAACATAGAGAAGATGAAAAGACCTTAGCTTAAAGAAACTATTTATAAATATCTCAGGAAAAAACATGAACAGTGACAGAAAGAACCTGCCCAACCACAGAGATTACTAAATTTAAAATTTGTAAAAACTGTAATTTACAATGACACTTTCAATGTAAAGCCCAAAAAAAGATGAGGGACTAATTACAGTATGTCTATTTACTAGAAAATCACACAGGCATTAAAAATATTTTCTAAGAACATTTGCAAACATAGGACAATGCTTAGGATATCATGGTCAGTTTATTTCATATAGATTTTAATATTTCTATACGATATAATAAGAGAAGAACCAAGAGGAAATACCTCAAAATGCTATCTGTGTTTATTACTGGGAAGTAAAATTACATGTCATTATGCTTTTCTGTATTTTCTACCATGAATTTATATTACTTTATGCTGGTGGGAGGTATTTAAATGTGGGGAGTGAGCTATTAAAAACAAATCAGTTGCACACTTATTAAGAAGCAGAATAAATAAATACATACAAATCAGCACTTTTAAGTTTGGAATTAATTATGAACAGACAGAATTAAATAAATTATTTTGTTTAAATTTCAGAGAAATCACAAAGCCCTCAAACAACTAAATTAATTTGTTTTCCAAGTCAACAGAAGTAGGGGAGTAGTGTTCTTTGTCTTAAGTTAACATAAATGTTCCCCTAAGATCTGAGCAAAATTTTTTAAATAGGCCCCACTTGACTCTGGCAACCTCCCCTCCTTTTTTGGTAGCTCCTTCAATTCCTGGGCCATTCTTTCTCAGGCATTCAAAGTCAATATGACATTCCAGTATGGGCTGGCCAGACCCAAACAATAATATGACAAATGCTTTTCAGACCACTCATTTTTTTCTACATCAATTAAAATTCCCATTTCTCCAGGGTAAGTATCTTAGGAGGTTATTAAGAGGAAAGGAATCTGGGGGACAAAACTTGTATTAATTCAGGAGATATGAATTTATAAAAGTAGACCTTTCAAAGATGACATAGTACAGTTGTCTCTCCATATCTGTGGGGGATTGGTTCCAGGAGCCCCAACAGATACCAAAATCTAAGGATGTTCAAGTCCCTTATATAAAATGATGCAGTATTTGCATATAACCTATACACATCCTCTTGTATACAGTCACACTCTGCTTAACGATAGATAGAGATATAGTCTGAGAAAATGCATCATTAGGCAATTCTGTGCAAACATCATGGAGTGTACTTACACAAACCTAGACAGTACAACCTACTACATACCTAGACTATATGGTAGAGCCTATCACTCCTAGGCTAGAAACCTGTACAGCATGTTACTGTATTGAATACTGTAGGTAATTTTAACATAATGGTTAAGTATTTGTGTATCTAAACATATATAAACATAGAAAAGGTGCAGTAAAAAATACAGTATTATAATCTCATGGGACCACCTTCATGTATGTGGTCTGTTGTTGACCAAAACATTCTTCTGCAGTGTGTGACTAAGTTTAAATCATCTCTAGATTACTATACCTAATACAACAATGTAAATACTATATAGTTGTTATGCTGTATTGTTTATATTATTTTTTGTTATTATATTGTTATTTCTATTGGTTTTTTTCCCTGAATATTTTCAAGTCACAGTTAGCTGAATCCACAGATTCAGAACCTGCGGATAAGGAGGGCAGACTGTATGCAGAAGAGAATTCTAGACCGGGAATTAGCTCTCATACTAAGTGACCTTAGAAATATCTCTTACTTTCTCTGAGCCTATTCCCTAATTTATCAAATGAAGGGACTGCACTAAAATCTCAACAGTTAAAAAACAAACAAAGAAACAACAACAAAAACGCTGACACTAATTGGTTAAATATTTGGTAGTTTAAAAGCAAAATGAAAAATTCAGAAATAGGGTAAAGAATATGAGGCAAGGACATTTGTCTCCTGTCTATTCACAATCTAGAAGTAGCTAATATTACCACCTTTGAACAATATTATGAAAGGGGAAGTAATAACTTTTAGCAGAACAGTAAACTGACTATCAGATTTATGCTCCCTGTTCAAAGCGCAGTGTTAATCACGAGAGGCGTTACAAGAAGCACCCTACTCCCAGACCTTTCCAACCACCACCACCATGCTGGCATTAAGATGGGGTCACATCATACTTCTCACCTCTAGAACATGAGAAGGGGTCTATGTCACTTCTGGAGTAAATGAATAATAAACTAGTATATTTCCCCACACTATCTAAATGGACAGGATTCTAGAACAGAGAGGAGGGCATAGTCATAAGACAAGAGTAGCCTGGGCCCCTGAGTGACCACACAGAAGGCCAGTTGACCTGGAACACCCTCTCTACATTGAGAAGTGAGCAAAAAATAAACTTTTGTTAGGTTCACCAACTTGGATTTCTGGGTGTATCTGCTACAGTAACCCCTCAATGTTCTAGAAAACTCAGTAAATTAAAAAAAACACATAACAATAATAGTTGCTGTCTTGTAAAAGCTTACATTTCAAAGTGCTGAGACCAAATTTATCCTTTTTATGTCCTATCAGTTTTCATTTGTAGGAAATCACTATGTCAAAAAAATAAAAGATAGCTGTACCTCAAAACTTGGAAAGCCTCCAAGCTTTTCCTAAATTAAAAATAAGGAACTGTAAGTCTTTGGAACACAAAAAGTACAACACATTTGTCTCACCACAGAATCCAGGATATGCTTAAAATAAGAAAAAAAGAGCTCAAAACATTAATACCAAACTTAACTGAATAGGCACTTCACTAATAAGGTTATTTCTTTTAGGGAAAAGGACTCTTAGCCATAAACGAACATTTCATGGTAGGATGCTGTGAATATTTAAACAAAAAAGGGGGAGATTGTCTTATCACAGAAATACTCTAACTTTACTTTTTCTCAAGTAATTATTTTTATCCTTCAGTAGGTACATCTGCCTCCTATTAAACTACCACTGCTACAGTTCCAGTTAATTATACTCCTTTATGCTTACTCACAAGAGTTATTTTGCAAGCTGCAGTAATTATTCAATAGGGAAAAAAATTGTACAAATACAAGACAAAGTACATACATAGGATATATTTCTTTTCTGTAAAAATAAAGGACAATTCTAATAATAAAAGATGCAAAACATCTTTGTCAGTTAAATAAAAATACTTTGTTTTTTTACTTATATTTTTGTGTCATTCTATTGTTTAAAAATATTTTAACAGAGTGATTACTTTTGGTTAAAAATAACTGATAATGCAAATGAACTGTTCTGACAGGTATTTCTAATATCTATATGCCAGTATTTAGAAACAGCACCTTAAAGTGAGGAAACATAGTTTGAAGTTTGGCATATTACAGCAGAGTGTACTTTCAGATGGGCCACCAAAATAAATAAATAAATAAATATCTTACTAACAACAGTATAAAGAATTTATAATTTTTCTTTTTTTTTTTTTTTTTTCTGAGACAGGCTCTCACTCTAGCCCAGGCTGGAGTACAAGGGAGTGATCATAGCCCACTGCAGCCTCAGACTCCTGGACTCAAGCAATCCTCCTGCTTCAGCCTCCTGAGTAGCTAGGACTACAGGCACATGCCACCACAACAGCTAATTTTAAATTTTTTTTGTAGAGATTGCTATGTTGCCCAGGCTGGTCTCCAACTCCAGGCTTCAAGTGATCCTCCTGCCTCAGCCTCCCAAAGTGTTGGAATCACAGGCATGCACTACCACACAAGGCCTAATTTTTCTAATATAAGGATATTTGTAAGACAAACAACACTATAATGAATCACTGCTGTATATGTGTGCAATATTGGTCTTCTCAAATAATACTTCATACTTTATTGTTTTACAGTATCACCCATAATGATTCCTTTAATTTAGCATATTATTTACTCTTTTCTTCTAGACCTATTGGAAGAAGCCTCACATGTCACTAAAACAAATATTTGTATGCCCAGGTTATATACCCGGTTCCCTGGAATTCAAGATAGCAGAAAAAAAAAAAAAAGAATCTATCAATCTGACCATTCCTCAGTCCAAACAATCATATTCACAATTTCATCTCAACACACTTCTATAATTACTGCAATTGTGTGTTTTGGATGACTAGATTTGTCTGTCTTGTTTCTGACCTTAAGGGTCTCAAGAGATTTCCTGGTATTCAAAAAGCATTTACTGAGAACAGGGCAGAAAAACAGTATGATAGATAAAAGAATCACATGAAGACAACTTTTTTCTGGTTGCATCATCTAAGCCTCAAGATGTTCCTCATCTGTGAAATAAGAATACAGGACCAATGTAACGAATAGTTAAGATATATGAAGTGCTTAGTGGAGTGCTTTGCTTTCAGTAACTTCTCCAAAAACATTAGCAACCTGTCCATGTGTATGCATAGAGCTTCCAAATAGCTTTGTACAGTCTCCCTCTTAAATGCGAACAGGCAACCAAAGATCATCTAATGAAAGCCTCCAATATGACAGAAAACAGGCTAAAAAGAAGAAAAAGAACTTGAAGGAAGCCGAGACAATATCACCAGTATGCTCAGAGGTATTAAAGACATTACACTCATGAAAAATACCAAAGGAATATTTAATACATAAGAAAGCGTTCTGAAAATTATGTCATTATTTTTCATTAGGTGAGCAAAAAATGCAGAGTTGGAATATAAATTTGAGGAAATCTTCCAGAACTAGAATAAAATAACGGTTATTTTAAAAGAGAGAAATACAGGAAATTTAGATAAATCCAGAAGGCTAAATATCTGACTATCCCCAGTACAGCAGTGAAAAAAGGTCCTAAGATGTCATTTATGCTGGATGCTTTGAGACAGACCTTTCCAAAGTGGAGCAGGACACTTGTGGCCTCCAGGTGAGGAAAGGAACTGATGAATTACCAATGTGTTTAACTGTTTGAGGGGGATTTTGAGAGGTAACAGGTAAGTTTAAGAATAATAATGATACACACACTGCAGGGTCATAAGGGAAGGTGCGGGAAGGACAAAACAAAATTAGTAATTATTAACACAAGGAAATTTTTAAAAAATGTTAATGTGATAATACTATAGGGCTCAGCTGCTAACTATGTTTACTAAGTCACAATGAATTCTGACCTAACTCTGATAGACCTGACTGGGAAGTGAGGGAATAGGAAAAGAGAAGGGTAAGTATGCTTCAGGGAGGATATGATAGGAGGGCTAAATCCTCACCTACCAAATCAACAAGCTAGGAGATACAGTCTACAATCAAAATAGTAAAAGAACAGTTGAAAGTATGTTGCTGAACAATAAAATACCACTTCATACCCATTAGGAAGGCTACTAAAAAAAAGACAAAGGCCAGGCACAGTGGCTCGTGCCTATAATCCCAACAACTTGAGAGGGCAAGGCAGGAAGATCACTTGAAGCCATGAGTTCAAGACCAGCTTGGACAACATAGTGAGACCTTGTCTCTACAAAAAAATTAAAAAATTAGCCGGACATGATGGCATGACCCTGTAGTCCTAGCTACTTGGGAGGCTAAGAGGGAAGAATCATTTAAGCCCAGGAGTTTAAGGTTACAGTGGGCTATGATCACACCACTGCACTCTAGCCTGGCTGACAAAGCAAGACCCTGCCTCTAAAAAAAAACTCTTTTTTTTTAAAGACAGACAATAACAAGGGCTGACAAGGATATGATGAAACTGGAACCCTCATACATTGCTGGTGGGACTGCTACGAAAAATAGTCTGGCAGTTCCTCAAAAGTTAAACACAGTCTTCCAGTTTGCCGCTCCATCCTAACAAGTAAAAAGCTGAACAAGCTGAAATATCAACAACTCTTCTTAGATCCATAACAGAAATGAGGTCGCAGGGCAAACCACTGCCCCCAAATTTAGAGAGATTAGCAGGTGAATACAAAGAATCACAACTTACCAGAGCTGAAACCTCTGTGGGAACCAGTACTTGGGTAGGGAAAGCTGAACTGTAATTGATCAACTACTGAAGGCTCAGTATGGACAAGTCTGAGAGATAAAAACTCCAGGGGGACCCAGTCGCGGGGGAAAGGGGAAGCACATTTTTGGGAGTTTTACCTCCTGTAGCTTTACCACATTCTCACAGTGAACAACAGAGAAAAATCCCCTCATGATCCCAACAAGGAAAGGGGGAAATAAACCATTTTGAATTATCCCAGAGCATTCTTTTCTTAACGAGGCCTGACTCATTAAGACAAGAGAAACTGTTTAACTAGAACCTAGCCTGCTGGGGTTTTGTCAGAGCCTAACTGACCTGGGAAAAGGAAAATATCCAACTCCAGCCCATTCTAGCCATCCTGCCCCACCTAAGCGCTAAACAAAGCACTTCTACAGTTCACAGTCCAGAGGCACAGGCTCGCTAAAAGACTGAGACTTAATCATAGGACTATAGAATGTTCCCCCAAACCCAGTCCTTACTGAATCACTAAAGGCCTACTACAGCAGTTCCTTTTACCCAGTACATTACATCTGGCTATCAAGAAAAATATTACAAGGCATAATAAAAGGCAAAAAACAGAGTTTGAAGAGACAGAGCAAGCATCAAAACCACATTCAGATATGGCAGGGATACTGGAATACTTAGACCAGTAATTTAAACAGCTATAATTAATATACTAAGGGCTCTAATGGATAAAGTATATGGCATGCAAGAACAGATGGGCAAAGTAAGCAGAGAGATGGAAATACTAAGAAAGAACCAACCAAAATAAAACAAAATAAAATGCTAGAGATCAAAAACACTACGATGGAAATGAAGAATGATCTTGATAGGTTTATTGGTAGACTGTAAATAGCTGAGGAAGAAAAATCTCTGAGCTTGGGTATATCACAATAGAAATTTCCAAAATTAAAAATCAAAGAGGGGCTGGGCACAGTGGCTCATGCCTATAATCCCAGCGCTTTGCGAGGCCAAGGCAGGTGGATCACTTGAGGTCAGGAGTTCGAGACCAGCCTGGCCAACATGGCAAAACCCCATCTCTACTAAAAACACAAAAATTAGCCGGGTATGGTGGTGCACACCTCTAATCCCAGCTACTCAGGAGGCTGAGGCAGAATTCCTTGAACCCAGGAGGCAGAAGTTGCAGTGAGCCAAGAACGCACCACTGTACTCCAGCCTGGGCAACAGAACAAGACTCTGTCTCAAAAAAAAAAAAAAAAAAAAGGCAAAGAGAACAAAGACTGAAAAAAAAAACAGAATAGAATATCCAAAGACTGCGGAACAACTACAAAAGATGTCACTACACATAATAGAAATACCAGAAGCAGAGGAAAAAGAAAAGGGAACAGAAGAAATATTTGAAACAATAATGACTGAGAATTTCTCCAAATTAAAGTCAGACACCAAACCACAGATCTAGGAACCTCAGAGAACACCAAGCAGGATAAAGGCCAAAAAACCTACACTTAGGCATATCCATTTCAAACTACAGAAAATCAAAGATAAAAAAATCCTGAAAAAAGCCAGAGGAAATAAATACCTTACCTATAGAGAAACAATAATTACTTCCAACTTCTCAGAAACCATGCAAACAAGAAGAGAGTGGAGTAAAATCTTTAGTGTTGAGAGAAAAAAAACCCACCAACCTAGAATTCTGTACCCTTTGAAATTATCCTTCAAAAGTCAAAGAAAAATAAAGACTTTCTCAGACAAACAAAAATTGGATTTTGTTGCCAGTAGGTATGCCCTGCCAGAAATGTTAAAAAGAGCTCTTTAGACAGAAGGAAAGTAACATAGGTCAGAAACTCGAATCTACATAAGGAAGAGTACCAAAGGATAAATAAATGAAGGTAAAAGGAAAACTTGTATTTGTCTCATACCTAATTGATCTAACAGATAACAGTTTATTTAAAATAATAAATAGCAACAATGTATTTGATTATATATCCTTTGTTAATATACATAGTGTGTATATATACATATATGCTTATATATAAGTGAAATGAATGACAGCAATGATACAAGTGACAGGAGAGAAGAATTAGGATTATTTTGTTATTATAAAATACTCACACAACCTGTAGAAAGGTACAGTGTTACTTGAAAGTGGACCTGGATTAGTTTTAAATGTATATTGTAAACTCTAACGCAACCACAAAAAAAAAGTTAAAAAAAAAAATGGAAGTATAACTGATAAGCCAAGAAAGGAGAGAAAATGGAATCATATAAAATGCTCAATTAAAACCACAAAAGGGGCCAGGAATGGTGGTTCACTCCTGTAATCCCAGCACTTTAGAAGGTGGAAGCAGGAGGATCACTTGATCCCAGGGGTTTGAGGCCAGCCTGAGCAACACAGTGAGCCCTCGTCTCTACAAATAATTTAAGCCAGGCATGGTGGTGCATGCCTGTGGTTCCAGCTACTTGAGAGGCTGAGGTGGGACGACTGCTTGAGCCCAGGTGGTTGAGGCTGCAGTGTGCCGTGATCGCGCCACTGCACTCCAGCCTGGGTGACAGAGTGAGACCTCCATCTCAAAAAAAACAGAAACCCATGGAAGGGCCATGCACAGTGGCTCACGCCTGTAAGCGCAGCACTTTTGGAAGCCAAGGTGGGAGGATCGTTTAAACCCAGGAGTTCAAGACCAGCCTTGGCAACATAACGAGACCCTGTCTCTATTAAAACACACACATGCACGCACACATACACAAAAGACAGAAAAAGAGTGGAAAAAAGGTACAAAGAACAAAGGCAACAAATAGAGAACAGTAACAAATAAGGTAGACATTAACTACACCAATAACCACTTTGAATGTCAGTGGTCTAAATGCACCAATTAAAAGATTGTCAGAGGTTCAAAAAACAAGACCCAATTGTATGTTTTCCATAAGAAACCTACTTTAAATATAAAGACAAGTATAGATTAAAAGTAAGTAGATGTAGACAAATATACCATGCTAATACTAATCAAAAGATTTGGTTGCTTACATGCTTGTGAAACAATCTACAATGAATTATATATATATATTTGAAACATCTCAAAAAAAAAAAAAAGACACATGCCACACACCTTACATAAGAATAAACTCAAAATGGATCCAAGATGGAAATGTTAAAATGTTTTTTTTAAAAAAGGAAACCATATAAGTACTAGAAGAAAACATGAGTGAATTTCTATAAGCCTGGATAGAGAAATACTTTCACTATGTCTCAAAATCAAGATGTAATATTGATAAACTATATTCAAAAAAAAAGGCATACTGAAAAACAACATAAACAAAGTTATACATTAAGAAAATGGGAAAAACTATTTGCAATATAAGACACTGGTACAGGAAAGACAAAAAGACTTCTACTTTCCAGTCAAGCATGTCAGGAGCCTGGAAGCTGTCACTTCTATATAGCCCCACAACATAAAAAAACAAACAAACTGAAAATCAACTCTTCTTAGATTCCTCAGAGAATTGAGGTCACAGGGCAAATCACTACCCCCAAAACTGGAGTGAAAGGCAGACAAAGAGAATCACAACTTACAGGAGAAGCAGTCCAGGAACCAGTATGCTCCACAGTACCAGAGTAAGAAAGCCTAAATTGTAATTGACCAATTACTAGAGGTTGGATGTGGACAAGTCTGAGAGTTAAAAACTCCCAGGAAGATCAGTCTTGGGAGGCCACACATTTTTGTGAGTTTTACCTCCAGGAGCCCTACCAGGTTCTCTCACAGTGCAGACTGGATAAAAATGCCCTCCGGCAAAGAAGAGAAAAAGTAGCCACTTTGAAATACTTTCCCAAGCCTCTTAATAAGGCCTACCCTCAAGAGAAACTATTTTACTAGAAACTAAATGAACTGAGAGAAGTGAAATAACCAACTCCAGTACCCTCTAGACTTCCTTTCTCACCTAAAGGGGAAAAAATTGAGGAGCACTGGGGAGGGTAAAGCCAAAAAACACAATCACTAAAAGCCTGATTATAGGACTATAGAATACTTCCCATTCCTCCACACCTTACCACCATATCAGTAGGGCTCCCATATAATAACAGGGAAATACAACTGAAAGAACTATCCAACTCAGACCTCAGTTAGGAAGAAATCTCTAGAGAAACTACAAGACAACAGAGGAGATTTAAAAAACAAAAAAAGGTACAGAGAATATTTTAGCCTCTGACACCTATAGCTATAGCTGCGGTAAACAGTAAACAGAGCCCAACTCCTATCCAGATAAAGAGAAAACCTTTTACTAAAAAGGGCTATTTTATCTCAATTTCACATACCCAGTACATCATTTCCAGCTTTCAACAAAAAATTACAAGGTAGAGCAAAAGACAAATCATTTTAAGAGACAGAACAAGCATCATAATCAAACTCAGAGCAGAGATAATGAAATGATCAGAACTGAAATTTAGAACAACTATGATTGATATGCTAAGGGTGTTACTGGAAGCAGAGAAATGAAAACTCTTAAAAAATCAAAAGGAAACGCAAGAAATCAAAAACACTAATAGAAATGATGAATGCCTTTGATAGGCTCATCAACAGACTGATGATAGTCAAGGAAATAAGTTAACTTGAGAAAATGTCAGTAGAAAATTCCAAAACTGAAGTGGAAATAGAAGAATTGGGAAAAAAAGAAAAAGAACAGAATATCCAAAAACTGTGAGACAATTACAAAAAGTATTGAATTAGTCTGTTCCCTACTGCTATAAATATTTGAAACTGGGTAATTTATAAAGAAAAGAGGTTTAATTGGCGCATGGTTCCACAGGCTTTACAGGAAGCATGACAGCTTTCGGGGAGGCCTCAGGAAACTTTAATTCATGGCAAAAGGTGAGGGGGAAGCTGGCACGTTTTACATGGCCAGAGGAGAAGGAAGAGAGAGCAAGGGAAGGTGTTACACATTTTAAACAACTAGATCTCATGAGAACTCTTATCACGAGAACAGCACTAGAGGGATGGTGCTAAACCATTAGAAATTGTCCCCACAATTCAATCACCTCCTATCAGGCCCCACCTCCAAATTGGGGATTACAACTGAACACGAGATTTGGGTGGGGACACAGATCCAAACCGTATCAGACATAAATACACATAATGGGAATACCAAAAGAAAAAGAAAAAGAGAAAGGCATAGAAGAAATATTTGAAGCAACAGTGCAACAGTGTCTGAGAATTCCCAAAAATTAATAGACACCAAACCACAGATCTAGGAAACTCAGAGAACACTAAGCAGGATAGATACAAAAAAATCTACATGTAGGCATATCATAGTCACACTACAGAAAATCAAACACAAAGGAAAATATTGAAAGAAGCCAGAGGAAAAAACACCGTACCTATAAAGCAACAATAACATCAGTCTTTTCAAATATCATGTAAATTAGGTAAAACTCACAAAAGTGTGGGGTCCCCACACTTGTAAGCAGGAAGAGAGTGAAATAAAATAATAATGGGAGTGGAAATGTACCAACCTAGAATTCTGTATCCAGTGAAACTGTCCTTCTTAAGTGAGAAACAGACTTTCTCAAACAAAAGTTAAAAAAATTTATCACCAATAGACTTCCCTTATGACAACTGTTTTGTAAAAAATTATTCAAAAGAAGGAAAATTATATAGTCAGAAAGTCAGATCAACATAGCAAATCAAATCCAACAATGGTTAAAAAGAATTATACAACATGATCAAATTGGATTCTATGTATGCAAGGTTGGTTCGACATTTAAAAACCAATTACTGTAAAAACCAATTATTATAAAAATCATTGTAATCCATCATATCAACAGGCTAAAGAAGAAAAGCTATATGATTATATCATTAGATGGAGTATTTGACAAAATCCAATGCCATTCATGATAAAAACTCTCAGACAACTAGGAAAAAAGGGGGAACTTCCTCAACTTGATAAAGAACGTCTACCAAAAAACCTAAGGATAACGTTATACTTAACAGTGAAAAACTAGATGCCTTCCTGCCAAGGAATAAGGCAAGGATGTCTGCTCTCACCACTCCTAGTCAAATCATTCTGGAAGTCCTAGCTAATGCAATAAGACAAGAAAAAGAAAAGGTATATAGGTTGGAAAGGAAGAAATAAAACTGTATTTGTTTGCGTGTGATAGGATTGTCTATGCAGAAAGTCCCAAAAAATCAACAAAACTCCTAAAATACATAAGCAATCATAGCAAGATTGCAGGATACAAGGTTAATATATAAAAGTCAATTCCTTTTATACATCAGCAATGAACAATTGGAATTTACCAATTGGAATTGGAATTTAAAAACAGGAATACCATTTATATTAGCACCAAAAAAATGAAATACTTAGGTATAAATCCAATAAATATATACAAGATCTATGGGAAAAAAATTACAAAAATCCAAGAAGATCCAAATAAATTGAGAGATATCTGTACATGGATGGAAAGACTCAATATTACCAAGATGCAGTTCTTCCCAATTTGATCTATAGACTCAATGCAGTATCAATCAAACTCCCCACAAGTATCTTTCTCTCTGTCTTTCTATCTCTGTCTCTCTCTCTACCTGTCTCTCTCACTGTGTCTGTCTTCTGTCTTACTCTTTCTCTGCCTGCCTGTCTGCCTGTCTGTCTCTCTCTCTCCGTCTCTCTGTTTCTCTCTTTCTTTTTCTCTCTGTCTCTGTCCATCTCTGTCTTTCTCTGTCTGTCTCTTTGTCTGTCTCTCTCTTTCTTTCTCTCTTTGTGTATCTTTGTGTATCTTGTCTTTGTGTATCTCTGTCTGTCTGTCTGTCTCTCTCTGTCCTTCTCTCTTTGTGTATCTTTGTCTATCTCTCTCTGTCTCTGTCTCTCTCTCTCTCTCTAAAAAAAAAGAAAAAGATGTTTAGAGCAGCTTTATTCATAATTGTCAAAACTTAGAAGCAACTAAGATGTCCTTCAACAGGTAAATGGATAAACTGTGGCACATCCAGACAATGGAATATTATTTACTCATGGAAAAGAAATAAGCTATCAAGCCACAAGACATGGAGGAAACTTCAATGCATATTGATGACTGAAAGAAGCCAATCTAAAAAGTCTACCTAATGTATGATTCCAACAACATAACATTCTGGAAAAGGCAAAACTATGGTGACAGTAAAA
The DNA here is from genome assembly GCF_000001405.40 of Homo sapiens. NCBI lineage: Eukaryota > Metazoa > Chordata > Mammalia > Primates > Hominidae > Homo > Homo sapiens. Next base: position 62,730,344 of record NC_000002.12, on the reverse strand, counting down.
AGATTAGTAGTTGCCAGAAATTCAGTGGGAGGGAGAGGGGGAGTGAGGGAGAGATTTCAGAGGATTTTCAGAGCCATGAAAATATTCTGTATGATACTATAACGGTGGAATCATGTCATTATTAATGTAAGATATCAATAAGTGGGGGGAAATAGGGGCAGATGAGGGGTATATGAAAATTGTCTGTACTCTACTTAATTTTTCTGTAAATTCATAACTGCTCAAAACCATAAAGTCTATTAATTGTTTTAAAGTTAAAGGAGAAAGACCAAAAACTAGATAGAACAGTAGTCAATAAATAACACAACTTTTATATGCACTAAGAAAACAAAGAATTTGTGTGACTCTCTCTATAGCAATATTTGCTTTATTACAGTGGTTTGGAACTAAGATCACAATATCTCTGAGGTATGTCTGTACATATTAAAACTACCCCAAGATACCATTTCTCACCTCTCACTTTGGCAAAAACCTCAGGACAACAAATTTGGTACTCGAGGCTGTGGGGAAACAGGCACTCTCATATATTTCTGGTGGGAAGGTAAATTGGTAAAACCCTTATGGAGAGGAATTTGGCAATATCTAACAAGACCACATATGTGTTTACCTTTTGACACAGCAATTCCATTTCTAGGACTTTACTCCCAAACATAAAGGCTATTCATTAAAGTATTATAGGTGCAAAATATTATATTATATTATATTATTTTATTTTATTTTATTTTATTTATTATTATATTTATTATTATATATATTATTATTATATTTATTTATTATATTATATTATATATTATATATAATATATATTATATATATTATATTTATTTATTTTATTATATTTATTATATATTTATATATTTATATATATTTTTATATATTTATATATTATATATTTATTATTATATTTATTATTATTATATTATATTATTATTATTATATTTATTATATATAATAAATATGATATTTATTATTATATTATATTATATTTATTATTATATATATTATATATATTATATTATATTATAAATATTATATTATATTATAAAATATTATATGTGCAAAATCTAAATGACCACATATAAGAGAATAGTTGGATAAACTATAGTGTATCACAAAGATAGTACTTTGTAGCTGTTGAGGAAAAAAAAAAAGAATAAGGACAAACTCTATGAACTGATATGGAATGATTTCCAGAATATATTAAGTGAAAAAGTAAAGTGAAAGTACTGATTGTATTGTCTTACGTCTTCTGCACAGGTAAAATAAATAAATTTTTTAGAAGTGCATATATCTGCACGTTCATGCAAAAAGAAACAAAGGAAGAAAATAACCAGACTAGACAAATGGTGCTAGAAGTAAATACTCACATACAAAAGAATAAAAGTAGACACCTTCCTTACACCATACACAAAAATTAACTCAAAATAGATTATAGACTTACTCTTACTATATGTAAGAGTTAAAATTATAAAACTCTTATAAAAAATAGAAGTAGTAAATCTTTGTGACTTTGGGTTAGGCAAAGTCTAAGAAGGCACAACACCAAAAGTACAAGTAACAAAATAAAAAATAGACATATTATTAATGTATTAATAGACACACTACATTTTATGAAAATTAAGCCCTTTTTTAAAAACACCACCAAGAAAGTAAATAGCTTACAACATGAGAGAAACTATTTGCAAATCACATACCTGATAAGTGTCTTATATCCAAAATATATAAAGAATTCTTACAACACTAAAAGGAAACGATCCAATTAAAAATGGGCAAATGATTACAATACACATTTCTCCAAAAAAGACATGTAAATGGTCTATAAGCATATGAAAATATTGTGGCTCAACATGGTTCAGCAATTAGAGAAACGCAAGTCAAAAACCACAATGATATAACACTTTACATGTACTTAAATGGCTAAAATAAAAAAGACAATCAGATGTGTTGGTGAGGAAATGAAGAAACTGGAACCTTCATACATTGCTGGTGGGAATGTGAAATGATGCGGCCACTTTGGTAAACAGTTTGACAGTTCTTCAAAAAGTTAGTTCCTACATGGTCCAGCATTCCACTTCCAGGTATGTACCTGAGATAGAATAGGAATGGGACACAGCTCCTTCTTCGTAATGTTTAAACCATGCCTTTTACTTAAAGAATTCCAGGAACTGGCCTTAGGAAATCTAAATATCAAACCGAGGTTGTGGAGTGTCCCACTTCAGGAAAGAATGCTTAACAATTAACTTATAGCCTTGTTGCCTCTGGCCAGACTACTAGGGTGTCCAATATTTAAGATAAATATCACAACCAGATATGCTGACCCTCATACCCTACCCTTCACAGGCTTTTCCCAGCCCAGTCTGCATGTCTCACCCCTGATGTCAATCGTGCACTTTGTCTAACAAAAAATTCCCTACCAGCTGTTTCACAGACTCAGCTAAAGAGTCCTTGCACCTCTGCTGTCTCCCTTGCGCTCAAGTGCAAGCCCCAAAATAACAGCCTTGTCTGGGATATCTACTTGGCCCTATGTTAATTTTTATTATACAGGGAGCCAAAGAGCCTGTGATCTGTAACATACCCAAGACACAAATGTTCATAGCAGCATTATTCATAATAGCAGAAAAGTGGAAACAGCCCAAATGTTCATCAACTGATGAATGGGTAAAATGTAACATATCCATATAATAGATTATTCAGCAATAAAAAGGAATGAAGTATTGACATTTGTTACACATGGATGAACCTTGAAACCATAATGCTAAGTGAAAGAAGCCAGTCACAAAAGACCATATAGTATCTGGAATAGGCAAATCTAGAGAGAACAGAAATTAGATTAGTGGTTACCTGGGGGTTGAGTGGGGAGGGGAGTTCCAGAGGAATACGGAGTGACTGCTAACAGGTACGGGATTTTTTCACAAAAATGTTCCAAAATTAGATAGTGACTATGGTTGCACAACTCTAGAAATACATTAAAAACCACTGAATTGTACACTTTAAAAGGGCAAACTGTTTAGTACATGAGTTATACCTCAATAAATCTGTTTAAAAAAAAAAAAAGGAAGAAGAAGAAATCCAGAATAACAAAACTGGTTACATTCAGGAGTTGGGTGGAACAAGGTGGAAAGGACAGAGTTGGGAATAGGATAATCAGGATGGGGAAGACATAATTTTAAAAATAGTTCTTGTAGGCCGGGCGCAGTGGCTCACGCCTGTAATCCCAGCACTTTGGGAGGCCAAGGCGGGCGGATCACAAGGTCAGGAGTTTGAGACCAGCCTGACCAACATGGTGAAACCACGTGTCTACCAAAAATACAAAAATTAGTCGGGCGTGGTGGCATGTGCCTGTAATTCCAGCTACTCAGGAGGCTGAGGCAGGAGAATTGCTTGAACCTGGGAGGTGGAAGTCGCAGTGAGCCGAGATCGCACCACTGCACTCCAGCCTGGATGACAGAGCAAGACTCCGTCTCGAAAAAAAAAAAATAGTTCTCACATGGGGAACAACATTAACATTTAATTAATTAATTAATTCAACAGGATGGGAGGATTTTATAGTGTGAAATATAAATACAAACGAATCTATCTATGCTTCAAATAAAAAACAAAACCAGGCTGGTAGTGAGTTATCTCAATCGATTGTTCACAGTCAGTAACAGATTGAACTCCTAGTTCTATTCTTTCCCCCTTTCTCAATAGTGCACTTAACAAGTCTAAAATAAAAAATAAAAACAAAACCATACTGAATACTAACACTAATGGGTAAGAGTTTGATTAGGAATAGGATAAGAGAGAGGGCAAGATGGCCGACTAGAGCAGCCAGATAGAACAGATGCCACGAAGGGATTGAAATGACTGGCACATGCCTAACAGATCTTCAGAGGAAAAGTACTGAGAGCAGAAAGAGGGAAGACACAGAAGCTGGGATGAAGGTGGAGGAAGCTGGAAACCCAGCACGGGGCTACCTACCGCACACCAGTAATCATTCCAGGCCTCCAAGGATTCCAGGAGACTGGGTGAGTTGAACTGGCAAGGAGAAACCCACCCACTCTCACCACTGACCTCTGGAATCCTGGCAAGAGGAGACTCCTCCACCACAATGGACACTCGAGTTGGCAGGGAGAGCTGCTTAGAGAAGTGGTAGGGGCAGTAAGCCAGCTGATGTGGAGCTCAGAGGGTTTGGTGAAGGAGCATCTGTAATAGGGCACAGCCAGGGTTGCCCATCCCCCTAGGCTTGACTTGCTCCCATAGGAGATTTTAGCCCTAGAGGTACTGTTGGACCTCAACTCTGCAGGGCAGTCTTGCCCATCAGACAAGGCCAGCCCAACCCCTGTGTCCCTTGGTCTGCTGGCCTCTCCCTGGGTCCTAGCCTGGCCACTTCTGCTTGCACAGAAGCCTTGAGCGCCCTAGGGGCCCACAACTTAGCTCCTATGCTAGCAACAGTGCTTGACTGGTGGAGAGCTCCAGCAGGGCAGCTCTCATAGCCACGCACCAGCCTACCTGCTTCCTCCCCACACTGTAGCTCCCACACACCACCTCCAATCATGACAACCCCCCACATCGCTTTGCTGGCAGTGTGTGCATGGGCAAGTTTTGGCTTCCTTGCTCCATCAGCTGCCCATGTGCATGCACCCTACCCAGCCACTGCTGCCTCCAAAGTGCAGTCCATCCCCCATCCTCCACCAACCATATTTCAATGGGAGCCTCGGCAGGCACAGAGCCATCCAACTCCACCCCCACCAGCACCCTGCCTTTGTACCAACACTGCTGTGGGAGTGAAACCAGGCAGAAAACAGCAGACTCCCTGCTGCCCTGAGTAACCACCCCTGATGGCAGTGCACACAGTGCACACAGACTTGTGCCTGCCAGTGCCCCACCCCTGTGCCAACACCACCACCAGCATGACGGCATGCACAGTTGCCAGCAGGGGGCCCCCGCATCCCCACGAATGGGTTGCCTCTGCCACTGAGGTGAACACTGGCTTGGAGGCAGGCACCCCGGGACCCACTAGCACACTGCCGCAACCAATGAGCATACACTCCACCACACTGCCACAGCCGCTGCTGCTGGCATATGCAAATGAGGCACATGCAAATAAGGCACAAGCAAATGAGGATGGATATCACTGTCACCACACTACAAAACACTTTGGCCAACACCACCCAGCACCTTGGAGCGCCCCCACCGCCACAGCACAGTGGATTCCTATCCCCGAGGAGCCAGAGAACAAAGTCAGGGCTGATAAAAGTCCTCCAGAGTTAGAGCACACAGTCCAGGAGTTGGGAGCTGAGCACTGGCCCCCTAAAATCTTCCAGAAATGAAGTCAGTTGGCTGAATCCACCTTATACCACAATCAAGTCCTCTAGGTCAGCAGTCCCCAATCTTTATGGCACCAGGAACCAATTTCATGGAAGACAATTTTTCTACACAAGTTGAGAGAAGGCATTAGATTCTCATAAGGAGCATACAAGTTACATCCCTTGCATGAGCAGTACACAATAGCATTTGTGCTCCTGTGAGAATCTAATGCCACCACTGATCTGACAGGAGGCGGATTTCAGGTAGTAATGCTCACTCGCCTGCCTGCCCACTACTCACCTCCTGCTGTGCAGCCCAGTTCCCAACAGGCCATAGACTGGTACTAGTCCATGGCCCAGGGGTTGGGAACCCCTCCTCTAGGCCATCAAATAGGATAAAAGAAAAAAAAAAAAACTATCCAAAGGTGAGCAACTTCAAAGATTGAAGAAACATCAGCCCATAAAGATGAAAAAGGACCAACAAAAGAACTCTGACAATTCAAAAAGCCAAAGTGCCTTCCTTCCTCCAAACAACTGCAACACCTCCCCTGCAAGCTTTCTGAATTAAGCCGAGATGGCTGAAGTGACAGAAATAGAATTCAGTATATGGACAGGAACAAGAATCACTGAGACGCAGTACACTAAAACCCAATCCAAGGAAGCTAAGAATCACAATAAAACAATGCAGGAGCTGACAAGACAAAATAACCAGTATAGAAAAGAATGTAACCAATCTGACAGAATTGGTTACACACTACAAGAATTTCATAATGCAATCACAAGAACTAACAGCAGAACAGACCAAGTGGAGGAAAGAATTTCAGAGCTTGAAGACTGCTTTCTGAAATAAGACAGTCAGACAAGAATAGACAAAAAAGAATGAAAAGGAACAAATAAAACCTCTGAGAAATATGGGATTATGTGAAGAGACCAAATCTATGACTCACTGGTATCCCTGAAAGAGATGGGGAGAGTGTAAGCAACTCGGAAAACGTATTTCAGGATACCATCCATGAGAACTTCCCCAACCTAGCTAGAGAGGCCAACATTCAAATTCAGGAAATGCAGAGAACCCTAGTAAGATACTTCACAAGAAGATCATCCTCAAGACACATAATAATCAGATTCCCCAAGGTTGAAATGAAAGAAAAAATGCTAGAGAGAAAGGTCAGGTCATCTACAAAGAGAAGCCCATCAGACTAACAGTGGACCTCTCAGCAGAAGAAACCTTAAAAGCCAGAAGAGACTGGGAGCCTATATTCAACATTCTTAAAGAAAAGAAATTCCAACCCAGAATTTCATGTCTCACCAAACTAAGCTTCATAAGCGAAGGAGAAATAAAATCCTTTCCACATAAGGAAATGCTGAGGAAATTAATTATCACCAGATCTGCCTTACAAGAGCTCCTAAAGGAAACACTATATATGGAAAGGAAAGACTGTTTCCAGCCACTACAAAAACACACTTAAGTACACAGGCCAGTGACACTATAAAGCAACCACACAAGTCTGCATAATAACCAGCTAACATCACGATGACAGGATCAAATCCAAACATATCAATATTAACCTTAAATGTAAATGGGCTAAACACCCCAATTAAAAGGCACAGAGTGGAAAGCTGCATAAAGAACCAAGACTTATTGGTATGCTGTCTTCAAGAGACCCACCTCACATGCAATGACACCCATAGGCTCAAAATAAAGGGATGGAGAAAAACCTACAGGGCTAATAGAAAACAGAAAAAAAATCAAAAGTTGCAATCCTAATTTCAGACAAAATAGACCTTAAATCACAAAGATTAAAAAAGACAAAGAAGGGCATTACATAATGGTAAAGGGTTCAACAAGAAGACCTGATTATCCTAAATATGTGTGCATCCAAGACAGGAGCACCCCAATTCATAAAGCAATTTCTTCGAGACCTTCAAAGAGACTTGTGGAAGACTTCAACACCTCACTGACAGTATTAGATCACTAAGGCAGAAACTTTGAACAAAGATATTGAGGACCTGAACCCAGCACTGGATCAAATGGACCTCATAGACATCTACAGAACTCTCCATCCAAAAACAACAGAATATACATTCTTCTCATCTCCACTTGGCACATACTCTAAAATCAACCACATAATTGGACATAAAATACCTCAGCCAAGGAGCAAAAGAACTGAAATCATAACAACAGCTCTCTTGAACCACAGCACAATCAATATCATGTGACTCCTGATGCAGAGAATACACAGCTTCACTTTGGTATTACTGCAAAGTATTAATAACCTGAACCTAATCATGAGTAAATATCAGACAAACACAAATTGAGGAACACTCTTCAAAAGTGTCAAGGTGAATTGACACTTAAGAAGTGTCAAGTGTCAAAACAAAGACTGAGGAATTCTACCAGATTAAAGGAGATTAAAGAGGTGTGACAACTAAATGTAACATATGGTCCTGGATTAGATCCTGGTCTAGGGAGGAAAAAATTCTTCTTTTGGTATCAATGGAATTCTTGGGATAATTGGAGAAATCTGAATTAGGCTTATAGATTAAGTAATAACATTACATACAAATGTAAATTTCCTGATTTTGACAAATTAAACTGTGGTTATGTTTAAAAAAAAAAAAATCCCTATTTTTGGCAGGGCATGGTGGCTCATGCCTGTAATCCCACCATTTTGGGAGGCCAAGGCAGGTGGATCACGAGATCGAGACCAACCTGGCTAACACAGTAAAACCCCATCTCTACTAAAAATACAAAAAATTAGCCTGGTGTGGTGGTATGCACCTATAGTTCCAGCTACTCGGGAGGCCGAGGCAGGAGAATCGCCTGAACCCAGGAGGCAGAGGTTGCAGTGAGCCAAGATCACACGCCACTGCACTCCAGCATGGGCAATAGAGTGAGACTCTGTCTCAAAAAAAAAAACAAAATTCCTATTTTTAAGAAATACATACTCTAGTGTTTATGGGTAAGGGGGCACTATGGTACAACTTACTCTTAAATGTTAAGAAAAAAATTACATACAAAATAGCTTAAGAGAGATTGATAAAGCAAATATGGTAAAATGTTGCCACTTGGGGAATTGAGGGGAAATGTATATGTGAATTATTTGTATTGTGTTTGCAACTTTTCTATAAGTCTGAAATTATTTCAAAATAAAGGTTCTTTTTAAAAATAGGGTTATTTTTAAAAAACAATGTACCTCCTTGTCAGAACCTCTGTACAAAAGGCAGTAATGATATCAAAAGGTTATTTTATAAATAACCATTAAGTACACACTGATATGAATAAATAACTGAATAAATAAATGAGGAATAAAGGACAAATCTTGCTTACAGGAAAATTCCAAAAATAAATGTAGAAGGAATAAAGGAAACAGAAAATTATCATTAGGACACAGTAGTGATCGCTACAAGCAAAATCTACTGATGAATTTTTAAATTGGTGACCAAAACTTTAAAGAAAAATAGGACACTTACATAACTTCAAAGCATCTTCCCCCCAGTATTTATTAGTTCTGTGGTAGTTGTAACATATGTTCAAATTCTTTGATACTTCTCCTTCCAGGAGATGAAACTTAATTCTCCTCCCTGAGAAATTAGATTTAGAAACTGGTTTCTAATGCATAAAATATGAAAGGGTAAAATAGTAACTTTACAGTGGAGAAACTCCATAGACTAAGTGATCAAGGTGAATATTACCAGTGATAAGTCACGTTGATATCATGTGGTATATCATATTATGTGACAGGGGCTAGAGGCACTTTACCTCTGTGGTATCTTATCAAAATTCCATCACCTCAGTCTAATGACTAAAAAAACATCAAACAAACCCAATTTGAGGGACATTCTACAAAATAACCTAACCAGCACTTGGCAAACCTAACAAGGTCATGAAAAACAAAAACAAAAAAAGACTAAAAACTATTACAGATTAGAGGAGATATGACAACTAAATGCAATGTGGTAACCTGGACTACATCCTTGGACAGAAAAAGGATATTAGTGAGAAAACTGGTAAAATCTAATAAAGTCCTGTAGCTTGCCTAATAATATTAATCTTAGTTTTGATAAATGACAATGGTAAATTTATTTATTCAAATTTTACCCAAAAAAAGCTGGGTGATGTGATATGTAAGAACTCTCTATATCAAGCTTGTCCAAACTGCGGCCCAACACAAAATCACAAACTTTCTTAAAGCATTATGAGATTTATGCAGGGAGTTTTTTTTAAAGCTCATCAACTGTCATTAGTGTTAGTGTATTTTACATGGCCCAAGACAATTCTTCTTCCAGTGTGACCCAGGGAAACCAAAAGATTGGACACCCCTGCTCTGTACTATCTTTGCAACTCTTCTGTAAGCCTAAAATTAATTCCATAAAAAGTTTCAAAATAAATGAATTAACCAATTTTTAAAAGTAATTTTGCAAATTAGAGTACTCTTCAAATTAAAGCTGAACCATTAAACTTGATATCTAGACCCACTTATTGCATGAATAAATCCAGTTTCAATTAAGTTACTTTGAGACAGGGTTTTACTATACAGCTTTCTGCATTTAATGATTTTGGAGAGGGAAAGAGAAGAATAAAAGATAAAATTTGAGAGAAACTATTTGCATGTAGTAAAAACAAGATTTCAGAATCTTAAGGGAAATGGTTGGAAGAAGACTAGTAAAACAGAATAAGGACATATTTAAAGGAAGGCTAATTTTAGAAGGACAACTATGGCAGTAATATAGGCAAAGGGGAGACCAGAGGGGCCAGGAAAGCATTAAGTGCCATCACAAAAGCCTACACTAGAGGTTCCCAAACTTTCTGGGTTTACAAGGCCCTTAATGTGTAATTTTTTTCAGACTCCCTCACCCCCAAGCCAAAAGAAATACCTAACCATTTTGTTTATTAAGTAGTCAGGTCCAAACAACTTAAGAAGGATGTATGTCCTAAAAACTTAGCACCTGTTTTAGACACTTGACAATCTAATTCTCAAACTTGAGAATTAGATTGGACACTGCCTCCCTAGTTTCCTGTACCACACAGATTTTCATGTGATGTCTGCTTTTTGTCATAGCAACTGCCAAAACCCCAGCTTTGCAAAAATGTGGTATCATTGAAAAGAAAGTAGCAATCTAATTTTGAAACTGAACTACCTCAAGCTAGTACAGTCTTCCATTAGTATCAGTGGAGGATTGGTTCCAGGACCTCCTGAGGATACCAAAATCTGAGGATGCTCAAGTCCCTGACATAAAATGGCATAGTATTTGCATATAACCTATGGACATCCTCCTGTATACTTTAAAGTCATCTCTAAATTACTTATAATATCTAATACAATGTAAATGCTATGTAAATATTGTTTTATACTGTATTTTTTAGAGAATAATGACCAAAACAAATCTGTACATGTTTGATACAATTTTGTTTTTCAAATATTTTCAATCCACAGTTGGTTGAATCCATAGATGCAGAACCCATAGATACAGAGAGGACCAACTATACTTTGTGTGGTTTCCAACAGATGCTGCTACGTTTCCTTCAAAATTGTTAAACATCTCTTGCTCCCTTGTGAGTTCTCTGCAGTGCCCCTGGGCTCCTTGGCACAGTTTGTGAATCATGGCCCTTGGCAAAAGACAGCAAAGGATGGAAACAAGGCAATGGAATAGAAAAATCAACGTGAGAATTAAGACATGCTTCAGAGAAAAAAAAATGAGCAGATCTACTAGTGATGTTGTCTAGAAGTACAATTATAATGCAAGTACTTAAGAAGTTTCAAAACTTTTCTTAAAAAAAAAATTATTCTGGTCGGCACAGTGGCTCATGCCTGCAATCCTAGCACTTTGGGAGGCCAAAGCAGGTGGATCACTTCAGACCCGTGTTCAAGACCAGCCTGGGCAACATGGCAAAACTTTGCCTCTACAAAAAATACAAAAAATTAGCCGGGCGTGGTGACACACATCTGTAGTACCAGCTACTCAGGAGGCTGAGATGAGGGACATCACTTGAGCCCAGGAACCGAGACTGCACCACTACACTCCAGCCTGAGTGATGGGAGTGAGACCCTAGCTCAAAAAAAAAAAAAAAAAAATTCTACCTCAACATTCAGAATAGCTATCTCTCAACACTCTTTGCTTATATGGAAGAGAACAAACCAGTCTTGTCTTTAAATGAACCAATGAACCTGTTTAAATATTTGTTAATTTTGGCAGCTAAAATGGCACAGCTAAAACACATTGCTCTCACTTTTAATCAGAAAGAAAATCACAAAACAGCTGAACCACTGTAAGAAAATTCAACTCAAAATTTCAAGTCAATAAACACTTTCTGGAGTACCAATAGAACTGTCATCCAGCACCTGCTAAAGCTTTGTTTCAGATGGATTCTTAAGAAAGAATCAAATATGGTAGTTCTAAGACCTAATTTGATACTCTTCAGCAATTGCGTAACTTCTAAAATGACAGATTTGCCATCACTATCACAGACCTACAGAATCAGGACCTCCTAGGGGATATGGAAATCTCCATATTTGCAAAGCACCCCAGCAATTCTAAAGATAGTCAGTTTGGGAAGCACTGGCTAAATCAGCACTGTCCTGTAAAACTTTTTGTGGTGATGAACATGTTCCATATTTGCACTATCCAAGATGGTGGCCGCTAGCCACATGTGGCTAGTGAGCATTTGAAATGTGGCTACTGTAACTGAAGAACTGAATTTTACATTTAATTTAAATTGATTTAAATTTAGATGTAAATAGCACATATAGTTAGTTCCCTCTGTACTAGACAGCACAAAACTAAATGATTTATGTAAAATTTCCATTCTTCTAAATTTCCCAAGTGGTACTCTTGGTTTAAATTACATGATCAGAAAACTAGGTTTCTCAGCCATATTCTCTCATAAAAAGTCTTCATGAATGGTCAACATAAACATTATCTTATTTAACAGTGGTTCTGAGTCTTTTGTAGTTGGAGATTTTATCTAATGTCATATTTTATTTTCATAATAAAAATCCTCTTTGGATTAAGGTCTAAGAAAAGTCTGCAAACAAATTTATATACTTTCTTTAGCCAGGAGGACTATTAAAGAGCCAATGTGCATCCCTTTTTGCCTTGGCCGCCAATAAACTCAGAACAAAATCCAGTCTCCAATAGCAGCAAACTAACTCCTCTCAAGTGCCTAGTAATACGTGCTCTCTCTGCTCCTGTAAGACCATCATTCTATTTATATCCCTAAATTAGTCAACATGGTATTATTTTAAATTCTTAGGCTGACAAACTCTTTCAGACATAGGCAGGTTATCAAATTTTAAAGTGTTTGTTATAATTAAAGTTAAATTTTATAGGTTTTTTTTAAAAAAAAAACTTTATTAAAACTATTTTCGAAATAACAATACCCGGATTAATAAAACCAGAAAATGTTTTAATAAACCAAACTTACTAAAGAAAATCAGCAGGTACCTTTTAGCAAAGCTGCCAAAAAATATCACTATAACAGTGATACATAAGACAAATACCAGGTACAATTACATCCTGCAGTAATTTCACTGCCTCTGTTTCAAACTCAGTTCCACTCCTTTTAACAAATGTGCAAAAGTCCTAATGTAGAATATGAACATCCCTATTGAGTATTCAAAATGCTTTGTGCAATTTTTCCTGAACTATTTTTATATCATGCAGTGAACAAGTTCAGTGGCTCTTTTGTTGAAATTTCCTAAAAAATCAGAACAAACACATTTGATGCATCAATAGCACATTTCTAGAAATGCCTAATTTTAAGTTCCCTGGGCATTTTAATTGCAAAACTCATTTGAAACTAAACTAAATCATAAGAACAGAACCTCCTCACATAATCCCTTAAAATTTCATTTTAGAAATCAACTTTTAAAGTATGTAAATCAAGATTTGATAACAAAATAATGTATGAAAATTACACACTACGAAAAGATCCTAGGTTCATTTCTTTAAAATCATGACAGGAAAAAAATTTTTAAGTAAAAACTGGCCCTGGGCATGGTCCTTACACCTGTAATCCCAGCACTTTTGAGGGGCCAAGGCAGAGGGTCGCTTGAGGCCAGAAGTTCAAGACCAGCCTGGACAACACAGTGAGACCCCTGTTGCTACAAAAGATAATGAAAAAAGAAATGAACAGTCATCACGTAGAGAAACATCATAAATTGTAGCAGGTGGCAGACACTTTAGCAGCCAGAGTTGGCAGCCAGGAATGCAAAAAGCACTGGGAAACAACTCCTTGCTGACTATTCAGGCAGTTGCCAGGGGAGCAAAGGGCCTCGGGAAGAGGAAAGGGACCTCAGACCTTCCAGATTGCTTCCTCTCACAAGAGACTATTTGTCGCAGGAATAAAGATGGCTGCTGAACCAATGGAAGACAACTGCATCAACTCCGTGGCAATGAAATTTATTGACAATACACTTTATAGCTGAAGATGATGGTAAAGTATAAATGAATTTATTTTTCTTTGCAAACTAAGTACCTGCTTGAGACACATGTGTATTGCCATTATTCACTGAGAAAAAAACAGTTCACATGATACCAATCTATTTGGAAAGCCAATCTGCCCTCAAAGGAATGTGGACTCAGTAGCACAGCTTTGGAATGAAGATGACCATAAAAGACACAAAGAAGAACCTCTAGCAAAAGATGCTTCTCTACACCTTAAAAAATTATCCAGCTCTTAGAATCTACAAAATAGACTTTGCCTGCTTCATAGGTCCTAAGATTAGCAGGGAGTCATGGATTCTGTTGGGTGGGGGAGTTGCATAGGAAAAGGGGATTGAAGCCTTAGAATTGTCCAAAATCAGTAACACCTCCTCTCAGAAATGCTTTGGGAAGAAGCCTGGGAAGTTCCCGGGTTGGGGCGTGGTGGGGGGTTGCGGGGCAGAAAATTCTGGAAGTAGAGGAGATAGGAATGGGTGGGGCAAGAAATGGGTGGGACATTGAAAGGTCAAGATCTGAAAGAAACCATGCATTTATGATGAATTCAGGGTAATTCAGAATGAAAGAGTAGGAGTAAGAGAATGAGGAGAAGCTAGAGTGATAAAATAGGGTGTAGAGCAAGATGTTCTCTTACTCCAAGATGTGAAATTTTGACGTTATCTTAGCGATAATAGGGTTAATTAAGCATAACATGTATTAGCTAGGGTAAAGATTAGTTTGTTGTAGCAAAGACATCCAAAGATACAGTAGCTGAATAAGATAGAAAACGTTTCTCTCAAAAAAAGTCTAAGTAGGCAGCTCAGAAGTAGTATGGCTGGAAGCAACCTGATGATATTGGGACCCTGACTTTCTTCAGTCTTGTTACCCATCATCCCCCAGTTGTTGATCTCATTCACATAGTTGAAAATCGTCATTCCTTCTGGGTCCATACCTCAGTTATCAAGAATGGGTCAAGATAAGAGGAAGTCAGGTCCATTCCTTTCAAAGACTCTAATTGGAAGTTGTACACATCAATTCCCCTCATATTACATTGACTAGAATTTAATCACATGGCCACACCAAGTGCAAGGAAATCTGGAAAATATAATCTTTATTCTGGGTAGCCATATGACTCTTTAAAATTCAGAAATAATATATTTTTAAAATACCAAAAAAAAAAAAGAAAAGAAATACATCATAAAATGGCTTGGCACGGTGACTCGGCTGGGCACGGTGGCTCACATCTGTAATCCCAGCACTTTGGGAGGCCGAAGCAGGCGGATCACGAGGTCAGGAGATCGAGACCATCCTGGCTAACACGGTGAAACCCCATCCCTGTTAAAAATACAAAAAATTAGCTGGGCATGGTGGCATGCACCTATAGTCCCAGCTACTCGGGAGGCCGAGGCAGAAGAATTGCTTGAACCCGGGAGGTGGAGGCTGCAGTGAGCCAAGATTGTGCCACTGCACTCCAGCCTGGGTGACAGAGCAAGACTCTGTCTCAAAAGAAAAAAAGAAAAGAAATACATCATAAATATCATAAAACATCGCTACAGGACACATACGAACACACAGACATGCATACACAAATGCTGGCAAATTAATTCTACTTTGGAGAAATTAAGTTAGTTTTCTTAGCCCAACATTTGCTTGAAATTATTATAAAAAGGAAATAAAGTTATAAAACCATAGGAATTGATTTTGCTTCAGAAGCAAAAATATGTAGTTCCTCTCCCCAAAAGTCAAAGTATTGTCAAAACTTAGCTCATTTCAGCACTGTACTTCTGCAGGCACATTCCCTGGTTACTCCTACCTCCCTGGTCACTCCAACCTATGCTAGTTCATCTTTCTCTAACACTCTTAAAAGTTCAGGTTATATTTACAGTCTTCTTCCCACCTACTCTAACCTTTCTCTCTAGATAGTTCTCTTCATCACTCATTGCTTATTTATCAGATAAAAAATAATAACAACAATGGGTAAAATTTTCTGGGTGCTTACTCTGTCAGACACTGTTCTAACCCCTTTATTACAGGTATTATCTTACTTAATCTTCAAAACAACTCTATGCTGGAAGTAGTGTTATTATCATCTCCACTACTGAAGAAGTACCAAGAGATAATTCATCCAAGGTCACACAGCCAGAAAATATGTATTTTACACAGACACAGACCTCAATGTTTTCAGAAGCTGTTCTAAAGTTTCTTTCTATAAGGCTGGAAAACTGGCACAATGGTCTCTTCTCTGTTACTTATGTAGTTTGAGTGGAATAAGACTAAACTAATAGTTTAGAGCCTGAGCACAGAGAACACAGAAAGGTGCTAGACTCTGTATTCCCTAAACACTAGCTGCAAGTAACTCCCACGACTTAAAGCAGAAGTCAGCAAACTTTTTCTTTCTTTCTTTTTTTCTTTTTAAGAGATAGGGTCTCACCATGTTACCCAGGCTGGTCTTGAACTACTGAACTCCTGAGTTCATGGGATCCTGCCACCTCAGCCCCTCCCAAAGTGTGAATATTTACAGAAAAAAATTTGTTCTCTATTTTTTTAGAGAACAAAAGAGCCAGTTTGGATCAGGCCAGAGTTTGCCTGCCAACTCTTGATCTAGAGGCATATTTTGAGTCATGTGTAGACATAATCATGATGTAAGCACATCAATATCCAATTATGGCATTAAGTGGCTCCACTATATTCCTTAAAGAACCCACCACAATTGAATTTTGTAAAACTGTTCTTCACATAGAATAAAGACTTAAAATCTGGAAAAAACACAATATGTAACAATTACAATTTAAAAAAAATCAGTTTATAAGATACTATCATGAAATTACAAACAAGTAACATCAATTTAGCATTTGCTAAAATCATATGCCTTTGACAACTTACAATATAGAAAAGACTGCGCTATTTTGTTTCAAGGAATAAGATGTTCAAGATTCACATAACTTGCAACATAGAAAGTACTGCAAACTAACCTCTCTAGAAGCAAGCCTAGAAACTAGGGAACAATACCTTTCTTACCTTGCCTCTTCCTTTTGCAGTCATCTAACCTTCTGCCCCATCTCTCCCCTCATACATTAAAGATTTTAGCACCAGGCCAGGTGCCGTGGCTCAGACCTGTAATCCCAGTACTTTGGGAGGCTGAGGTGGGCAGATCATTTGAGGACAGGAGTTCGAGACCAGCCTGGCCAACATAGCAAAACCCTGTCTCTACTAAAAATACAAAAAAACTAGCCAGACATGGTGGTACATGCCGGTAATCCCAGCTACTTAGGAGGCTGAGGCATGAGAATCACTTGAACCCAGGAGGCAGAGGTTGCAATGAGCCACTGCACTCCACCCTGGGCAACAGAGTGTGACTCTGTCTCAAAAAAAAAAAAAAAAAGAGTTTAGCACCTGACTCCCTGTCTTAAATGTTTCTCCTCCCATTATTCTTGGCAACTTCAAGAGCCACACAAATAATCTGTCCACACATTGGCCTCTAAATTCCTTGACCACCCTCTTCATACCCAAAAAATCTTTTACTCCATTTCACCTCAGCCACCAACTCTCATGGTTATATACTAATAGCTATAGTCTCTAACAAGGAATAGGAATACCTGGAAGGTGCAAAAGATTATCTACTCAAACACAGCAAGAAATTCTACTTAAATTTATTTATTTTAAAGGTATTTATTTTATTAAAGGAAATTAAAGTATACTCATATTTCATGTATGCAGTATATTAAAAATATATTGGGATATGTGCTCATTTTTGTAAACAGATATGCACATGTGATCCAAGGACACCACCAGTATCTTGTCATTAACATTAACCACATCCTCAAAATCAAGCATCTCACACTCTTCCACCTCCCATCTTTCCAGCTCCCAACCCCAACAATTCTTCAACCTCTTTAAAATCTTTCAATCATTATCCTTTTCATGCTTTCACTGACTATCCCATCTTTCACGTACTTACCTTCTCCTTTTCCAGCTTATATTCCATGGTTCATCACTAAAACCACTCCTGCACATTTGCTCTCAATTTCCCTGTCTCTCTTCCCCTCAGTTATACATTCCTGACAAAATCCAATCCTGGTCAAATCCAACTCTATCTATTCCATGCCTGCACCAAAGCACTGAACACAGTTGGATTAAAATATGCAAACTTGCTGGTTGCATTCACTTAAAATTTATAATCACAAAGTTAAGAAGGTCATCACTACTACCCAGCAATCCCCCTACATTTCCCTAGTCAATTCATTCTCACTTTGACAACTTCATACCTCATCTCCTCAGTTCTTCAACAACTGTCACCTCCCTCCCAGCAGATGATTTCTTATATCATTTCCCTGAGAAAACAGAATGTCCACATCCTTCCCAACCAAATCTACCAACCTATCTGCTTCTCTACCCATGTACCCTGCTTCTCCCCTTGTAACAATGAATGGTCCCTGCTTCTACCTAAGTTCAACGTTTCCACTTGTGTTCTGGATCCTTTTCTCTTTCTCTCACTCAAAGACTTTTCTGTCCTAAGGTTACCTCCTCTCCCACCACATCATCCATTTTTCCTTCTCTACCAATCATTTCCACCAGCATTTACACATGTTGCAATATCTGCCAAGCAAAAAATGTACCTTGAACCCTTGTCTCTCTCCAAGTATTACCTAGTTCTCTGCTTTGTAGCAAAATACTCCAAAAAAATCATCATACTCACTGTAATCACTTCCTTTCCTCTAAGCCAACTTAATCAAGTCTTCATCTCCACCACTCCATTGAACCATTCCTCAAAATCATTAGTTCTTTCCATCTTGCCAAATCCAACGGTCACCTTGCTCAACCTCTCAACAGTATTTGACACAGCCAAATACTCCCTTAATACACTTTTTGCAGTTGGTTTCTTAGAAAACACGCTCTCCCAATTTTCCTATCTCACTACTGCTTGTTTCCTGTCTCCTTTGTTGGCTCCTCCTCTCCTTCCTCACCTCTATATGCTGAAGTGCCTCAAGGCTCAGTCTTCAATCCTCTTCTCAATCTGTATTAATGCATAGGAAATTTTCTATCGCCCCATGATTATAACTACTACTTACATACTAAGATGATCCAGCCTCTGAGTTTGAGACTTTTATAATTAACTGCTTAACTAAGATCTCCATCTGGATGTCCCAAACGAAAAGCAAACAGAATTCTTGATTTCTCCCTCACACCAAACCTTTTCCTCCCCAAGTGTTCCCCTATCCCTTCAATTAATATTACATTCACCTGGTTGCTCAGGCCAAAAACCTATAGTCATTATTGATTGTCTCTTACTTTACATCATATCTAATCCATCAGTAAGTCCTGCTAACTATATCTTTAAAAAAATTTATTATCCAGCTACATGGGTACATAAAATTGTCAAAACTCACTGAACTGTACACTTAAAATGGATGCATTTTACTATATGCAAGTGTAAATTATACCTCAATAAAGTGTGGTGGTGCTGAGTGTGTGTGAGGGTATGTGTGTGTTACATATGTCTGACCATTTCTCACCACCTACTACTCTGCTGTTTGAATTACTGCAACAGCCTATTAGCTGGTATCCCTGCTTCCACTTTTACTCATGACAGTCCATATCCCACAAAACACACCAAGTTTGTTTCTAATTAATGCTTTTTTCTGTTCTTTGTAAAATTTATTTCAAAAGTAGGTTATTTACATCAAGGCTCATGTATCTCTATATCACTCCATGGTCAACAGAGAAATGCTTGCTTAAGCCACCCAAAGAAGTGGATCTGAAATTAATACTTCTTAATGTAATTTGGTCTTCATAAATTCAACTTAACACTGAAAGTGCATGTAGTCTTCTTAATGTCTAATTGGAAGACTAAGCTGGGATCAGTTACACATAGCCTGGAACATCAGATTAAAGAGTTTATATTTTATCTAACAGGTCAATGTCACAAACTTAAACACTAAGAAAAACTACTTTTTTTTTACCTTTCAAATCCTGGGGTCACAAGGTTGGCAAAGATGTGTGAAATAATGAACAAAAAGAAGAGTTACTTTCAGGGATGTATCTTCACCTTTTTGTACCTCTAGAGTTTTGAACCATGTGATTGTACTGCCTATTTAATATATAAATTATAATTAAAATTATATTTTAAAATAAGGAAAAGGAATTCTTATATGACATAGAAAAATAAGAAACTAAAATAAATACATGACTTTTTGGGAAAAGTTTACAGCACTCTGAATATTTTTAGTCCTCCCACCACAACTAAGAATTAGATGGAAGAAATATAAATACAAATATAAAATATGTTCATATATATACATACAAAATATAATACGTATTCATACATAATGATTCATGTCATATATTAGAGAGCTTTTACCAGAATTTAATTTGCAACATAGTTAAATTATCATCATAACCCCAACTTGCCAACTTTCATACAGTTTACTTAAACACCTGTAAAGCCTTTGAGAACTCATATAGTAAAGATTTCTCTCAGAAATCTAAAAGCCTACAGATGATAAAAGAACAGAACAGAAAGTAAACTGAGAAATGACAGTACAGTCTCTTTCAAACTCATCTCCAGAGGCCAGTCTTACTACTTGCCAACAGCTACATCATTTAATAATTAAATGACATAAGGACAACAAGAAGAGTAGGGGGTATAAACCCCTATCATCTCCAAATTTGCTAAAGCCCCTTCATGTGGCAATCAAGGAATGATGATGAATAGGCCCTCCCTGGTATACTGTCCCTCTCTCAAATGAAAAAAAGACATTCTCGTTTTTGTTCCTGATCTAAGTTCTAGTGGTTCTAGAACTGGTATAAATAATTCTGGTATTAAGTTCTAGATGTAAGTTCTAGAACCACTAGACAATACAAGAAGTATTGGGGGTACTAAGTATTAAGTACCCCCAATACTTCTAGGAGAACATCCAAATCCTTCTGGTATTAAGTCCAGATCCTATCATAAGACCTGATTTAATAGGGACACCATAATGGCCATCCCTAAAAGTAATCAAGCCATTTATTCAACTGCAATCAAGCTAAATTTTCGCTGTAGCTTTTACCTTTAGACACATTAGCAATAACTTAAATTGTTATTTAAAAATTAATAACTTAAAAGCTCTAGGGAAATAAAATTCCAGGAAGGCTGCAAACTGTGAGGAAGAAACTGATTTTCTAACTGAGGAATCACCTGATAATGTTCTATTTCCCTTAAGAAAAAGATTAAAATTTAACCATCTTAACGTTGATGCTCCCAGTATACTGCCAAGTTAAGAAACACCTATAATCACGACCTTCTCCAGCTTGGTCAAATACATCCAAATTTCCAACACAAAAGCTTGGATGTCAATCTAGCCCTTTTCTTCTCCCTCATCCCCATCTTGCTCAGATCCCCAACTGAAATGACCACCAAATCCTACCCATTTTGTGTTCTGAGTGTTCCTCCAGTTAATTCTCTCCATTCCCTTTGCCACTGCCTAGTCCTAACCTTTTGTCTCCCCTTATTTATTAAAACAGCTACCCTAATATTGCTGCTTCCAGTCACCTTTTTACTATGATCCTCAGTCTACACTGTTGTCCTGGTGATTTTCCAATAGCAAACCTAATGTCTCTTCTGCTCATAATCTTTTACTATGTTCCTATCACCTACAGAATAATCCCCAAATCATTTATTAACAGCACATAACTTAACATGCTTTCAGTCCTGCCTGACTCTCAAACCTCATATCTCACTGCATGCCCCCCAATCCTACACTTTAAACCCCATTAATATCAAACTATACTACTTGAATTTCCAGCACATCCCATGCTAGGTAAGCCTCCCATGTTTCTGCATAGGTTGTTGCTTCAGTCTAGAATGTCTTTTACGTCTTCTCCCTTGGCTTCCTGGACAACAACTATGAATCTTTCAAAACCCAGCTCAGATCCCAGGAAGCCATCCCAACAACTCATCCTCTACCCTTAAAGAATTGTTTTTCCCTCTGCGACCTCTGTACATAATAATGGCATCTATTAGGCACTATGTCCCTGACACTGTTCCAAGCATTTTAAATGTATTAACTCATTTAATCTTCACAATTACCCTCCCCATGAAGTGGCACCATTATGACCTTTATGGATATGGAAACTTGAATCACGGAGAAGTTAAATAACCCGTCCTCAAAGATACTCAACTGTATCGAGACAGATTAAAATCCTTATGTCATACATATTTATATTATTGCATCTCTCACGGTGAATTTATTCATGTGACTCTCCTTATACTGGACTGCACACTCCTTGAGGACAGGGATTATGTTGTATTCTACTCTAAATCCACAGTACCTGGTATAAAGTAGGTAATGAGTGCATGCATTTCTCAAACTGATTTTAAAATAATATTCCTAATAAGTTGAAGAGAAAAGCATTCAGAAACTAGTTCCAAATAAATATTCAAATATAAGAGTTCTAGAATAAAGCAAGCTATTTTTTTAATCTAATAAAATGGATGTTAAAAAGAAAAATTATTACAGACCTGAATTACAGTCCTTCTGGACAAAGAAATGGACTTATTTTGCAATAAGTCCATTACTGCTTAATCACTGCAGTAAATCAAGACCCAAACGACCATTTGCTTAAAATTAACTTTTTTCTCTCACTAAATAAAAAATTTTTGTTGTTTATCATTCAGGGCAATGGAAAGAAAGCCCTATATTTACTCTTCTCAAGTGGAAAAAAGCCAATCACAGACCAGCACTACTAATTGCTTCCTTAAATCTGGCCAAGAAATGTATCCCATTAGGCAATTAAAATAAAATACAGTTGCCTGAGTAAGCATTTAACAAAAGAATTTCTAAGGTTTTGTGGATGGCATTCCATTAATCAAATAATGAAAAATTCTTTATCCTAAGCAAGGAAAAATGAAAAAACAAAAATAAAATAGATTACCATCACCCCACAAGAATATAGACTTCTATATTAAAACTCTATTAAATCATATGCCTGTTATATTAAAATATACGGATTAATGCTCACAATATTTCAGTAGCCATTCTTTGTCTCCTTAAAATTACAAAAATCAAAGTTATTTTAACACTAATGATGAATAACCTCAAAACCAAATCTATTGTATTTAGTGTGCTCTCACAGTTACAGTCCTCTGAGCCATACTGAAGCGCAGTAATTAAAATCCACAGGGATGGTACTAGCAGCAACAGTGCACAGCACAGTACTTGTTAGAGTTATCTGCGCCCCACCCAGCTTCTACACACTAGTGCACTATAGAAAGGTAAATATACTATCAGAAGACCCAGAGTTTAGGCCACAGTATGCTTAGGCCACAGCACAGCAAAATCTACCTCCAGGTACATCTTACCATTTCTTCGTACACTCAACCATGAGCTCCTGGTAGGAGGCCACAAACTGGAACTTGGATGCATGTTTTCCCACACGCTGCAGTCTCTTCCAAACTGAAGCCATGATGATCAGTCAAGACACTGGAGCAGTTCTGGGTTAGCAATACAGCAGCTTTAATAATGCAGAGGGTCCAAAGCAAAGGAACTTTGCATGTATGTCTTTTAAAAACTCAACTACAACTCGAAATGATGCTTGGGGTCCATAAGTCTTCTCCCTGTTTCACAGGGTAAATCCCATCTTAGATGAATGGCCCAGTCAAGAACACTATGATATACGTGACAGGATGAGTGGGAAGGGGTTCCCTCATGGAGACATCACCATGCCACCTCAGGGGCTATATGATGGGTATTCTGGAGGGCTGAAAAGCAAAACAAAGACAAAAAGAGAAAGAATATGAGGAGAGAATCATGAGAAATGACTAACCACCCATGTTAAATAACGCTGCAAAAGACCATCCCAGTTCTCTGCATGTCTTTTAAACAATGAAACAAAACACTGACCTCAAAAGCCAGTAACATCAAGGATGCAAGACACCAAGGAAGAAATTACAATTCACACCGAAGACGTGGAGCGACACATCAGGTAGTCAGCACCAACAACAATCCAGAGAGACGGTAACTCGGGGCCCTACCTCCCCCTGTTAGCATCACTGAAGGGCGAGCAGAGCGGGAAAGTCTAGGGATGCTGTTTAATGTCCACCGCCAGAAAGAGGGAGAAGTGGAGTATTTTTTAATAAACTTTGTTTTTCAGTCGATAATTAATAGCCTCAAGTCCGACAATATGTGCTTGGAACAAATTAGGGAGCCAGGAGGAATGCTATTTTTCAGTCGGAGGGAGGAAATGGATGGGGAACGAGGAGTGGAGGGAAATCTCCAGGCAGAGAGAGGGCAATGTCCCGGCTCCAGGCCACTTGGGCTCCTTCGCTGCCAACCGGAGGGAAATGGAAACTCCTGCCTGGGGGTGAAGCAATGACCAGCGGGGCAAGTGGACTGTGCAGGGTGCGGTGCCTCCCTCCCCCATCCTCAGGGAAACAGTCCGCCGGAGCCCAGTCTCCTCACGCACGGAGCCCAGACCCCTGCCCCCCAGCGGAGACAGGCGGTGGCTCGTCCGCGGTCCCTGTCACCCAGGCGATACCAGAAGACCCCAGCCCGGACCCCGAGCCCCGGCCCCGCCGCTCGTCCACTCCCGCCCCCTCCTCACACCTCTAATCCCGCTGTCGGGCTGAGTCTGGCCCCGTTCCCTTCTCATAGCCGCTCCTCCGTCGCCGCCGCAGCAGCAGCCGCCGCCGCCACCGAGTCCTCCATCCCCGCCGGAGCCACATGGAACAGCCAAGCCAGCCACGGCGCTCGCGGTAGCCGGGATCTGCAGCCCCTCAGGCGGACGGCGCCCCTCACGCCCACCCCCTCCCTGACAGATCGCCCCGCGACCGTCCCCCACCCTACCAAGCCCTGCCAGAGCCACCGCTCAGCGCCCAGCACCCCCTCCCCCGCCTTTCTCCTCCGCCACCATCATCATTACCTCCCCCGCCGCACCTCTCACACTAACCCTACCCACGGCAGCTCAACCTCCACCGCCCCGCCGCCATTGGCCAGGCCCCGCGCGTGCCCCGCCCACCTCGGCGGCCGGGTCTTACAGCGGCTGGGGCACCTCATTGGTAGAACTGCCTGCCCATCACAGGGGCTCCGCCTTGCCCTTGCTCGGGAGGTGGTTTTTCCCCGAAGCCGGAATGCGACGCACAGGCTACCTTTTTTTTAAAAAAAAAAAGAAGGAACCGACTAAGGACGATCCCGCCCGTTCTTCTGATTGGCTTGGAGAGGGAAGCGATAGGCGGGAGGAATAGGGAGTGTTTATAGTGAACTGCAAGGTGATTGCAGAAGGTGGCTGTCCGTCAAAGGCGCCGCTGGTGCGGGGCTGGGTTTCTGGCCCCTAAGGGTGATTGCAGACCTAGAGATTGGCTTCGCTGCAGCTGTGGGCAGTGCAGCTGCCTGTGGGTTTCTCTCCTGTTCTCATCTCCGCCAGGACCTGGGCGCGCCCTCTCCTCCGCCACTGGCAACTAGGGTTTTTGCGCATAGCCTTTATTTCACCAGTTCCTCCTGGGATCTTACCTGACAACCTGAAGTAATGACCCTGTCAGGCACCCCCCGACACCCCGGCCGCTCCCCGCCCAACATAGAGTCAACTGGTCTTCAGTGGGATTGAATCAGCTGAGCTAGACACAAAATGTGTACAGTACAATTTCTTATTGTTCGGAGTCTTCAACATTTCTTTGAATCTTGGTTTCCTCTTCGCTGTCGGACTCTTTTGCCCCTAGTGAGAACTGTAGATGGATTTGGGAACAGCTAGCATATAAAAAGGGTGGTCAAAGGCAAAAAGGAGGAGGCAGAGTGAGGGCAGGGACACTCAATCTTGTTAAAAGAGCCAAGGGCCCTTTTGAGAATATGAAAGCTACAGATACTTTCTCAAGGGGGAAAAAGTGTTCTGTCTCAAAACACAAAAAATTGTTTTCAGTTTTAGGTGGTTCACAGACCCCTGGTGTGGAGAAAGAGGACAAAGAATGAAACTTCAGGGGAATCCTAGCATCTAAGGAATAAACAGAGTAAAATGGGAAAGAGACCGAGAAGGAATAATCAGAGAAGTAGGCGCATCAGCAAGCTATGGGCAGACAGTTTGGAAAAAAAAGAGAGGCAAGCTAACATAAAAAGAAAGCAAGCGGGATGGGTTCTGGAAACAAGGATCATTCAATCTTACGAAGGTTGGAAAGCAGGGTGCATGGACAAAGTAGCTTGAAAGGTGTTAGGGTCTAGGGAGGATTCTTTCAGGGACAGGAAGAGAGAGCAGTGATGGGTGAGAATTGAGTCCATCTGTAGACATTGGGGGCCAAGACAAAGTGGAGAGACATGTTGAAGAATCAAGAGAGATGGGGAGACAGATATAAGGCTTGAATCCAGTATCTAATTCAATTTCCACTTTCAATAAAGAAAATGATCTAATAATACAAGAGCACAGTGTGCATTTTACAGAAAACAGCATAGTTATCGCTTATTTTGCTAGTCAATTCTAAAATGTTAAGATAATCGTAATAATCATATTGATTCTTATTTTCTATTAAGAGTTCTCTGATGTCCTTCCTGAGTGGTTTACGAAGTCACTACAACCTACAGCCATTATGATCTCATATAATAATATATTCTGCATCTTTAGTAGGCTTTAAGTGTGTGGAGTTTTTTAATGGCTTATTTGTAGAAATGGTCATAAATTATTTTCATCCAAGTTACCCTTCAGAAACAATCCACATGATGATCAGAAGGTTTTTGCACCCTATTTATTACTGTTCTCTGGAAGTTCTCAAACTTTCTTATGTGGTCATTCTGGTTTCTTTTAACATGCTTCCCTTACTCCAAAGGGAGAGGGGGAAGAGAGAAAAAATAGAGAGACTGACTTTATTGTAAAGAAATTCCCTTAAAAGTAATAAGTTTTAAATGGTGTCTTAAAAAAAAATAAAGGAGTAGGATCCCTAGGGAATCTTCCTCAAGTTGTGGAAAATTTCAAGAGACTGATAGTTTCTTATGACAGCTCTTCTTTTTAGGGGAAATATTTGTCTTGGATGTAAACTCTTATTTTTCCTTCTAGACACCAAGGTAGCTAAGAAGAGATCAAAGTTAGAATCGTTTACTAAATGAGTGAAGGAATTAAGAACAGCTCTTGACCCTGTTCTGCCACTGACCTCATGTTCATAGGCTGTCTCCTGGAGGCCCTACAGAGCAGCTACTTCTTCCCCCTATAACATTTTAAAAAACAACCTGTATACTAACTAAATTTATTGAAGAATATTAAATATAGAATATGTTCAGCTCTTTTGGCCTGCTTTGCTGATAGTTATTGAATACCGAGTATTAATCTTTTTTTTTTCTTGAGACGGGGTTTCTCTCTGTCACTCAGGCTGGAGTGCAGCCTCACCCTCCCAGGCTCAAGCAGTCCTCCCACCTCAACCTCCCGAGTAGCTGGGACTACAGTCGCATGCTACCACGACTGGCTAATTTTTTTTTTTTTAAGGAGCAAGTCTATTAACTGATAGGCTAATTTTTCATACTTTTTGTAGAGACAGGGTTTCACCACGTTGCCCAGGCTGAACTCCTGAGGTCAAGTGATCTGCCTGCCTCAGCCTTCCAAAGTGCTGGGATTGCAGGCATGAGCCACTGCTTCCAGCCTGATCATATTAAATATTACCAATAGTACATAAAAGTTACAGTCCCTGTTCTTAAAGACTTTCAGGAACATGTTCGGTGTGTACACAAGAAAGTAACACGAGTTACTTAACCTCTCTGAGTCCCAGCTTCTTAAAGCATGATCCTGTAAAACATAATCATGCCTACCTTTCTGGGATGTTGAGAAAATGGAAGATATGTACATAAAGTATCTGGCACATAGTAAACAGTCAAATGGTAACTAGTAGCATATGCTATTGTGTTTGGTAGCAAACATAAACAAGACAGAAAAGAACAAAACAGACCTTCAAGAATACTTGGGCAATACTTAGTGCCAAACATCGCTACCTCAAGGACTAAAGAGTCTTAAAGAGTACATTCAATATTATTTATCTCCCATTAATTCAATTGGTACCAAGACTGGAACAGCAATAATTTAGGTGGACTCAGGATTTTATAATAATTACTAAGAATGCACTTATCCTCAATCCTCATGACAACTCCTTATGTCATATATTAGCTGAGAACTTTTGGCATGCTAGAAGTTACCCTTTTCTTAAGGTCCCATTTCCCCTACCAACCAACAGGTACCTCCTACTCACCCTCCCACTTCCAGGATTGCCCACTGTGTCTGCCCCCTTCTAATTCCCTATTTACTCGGATCTTGATTTATCGTCTCCCTCTGTCCCAGGTTTAATGCAAGTTACATTAATTATCCTGTCCATTTGACCCAGGTTGTTGACTGCAAAATGTTTTACTTAACAGAAGATGCAACATTTAAAATAATTTAAAATTTGCCTTTAAATATCATCAAGCTTAAAATGAAGATAGAATACAAAGAAATAAGTGGAAAATGGCATCCAAAAACTTTAAATCTTCTCTGCCATGACAATTTTGAAAATGACAGAAATTATTTTCAGTGAAACAGCTTTTTTAGTCACTGCCTCAGAAACTCCCCAAATGGAGATTCAAGACTATGAAATGCAACCATAGGCTTGAATTACTATTATCTTTCCTGGTGATAAAATTCTTATCTTTGGGTTTTACAGTTATTGCAGTAAAAATTGTCAGAGGTATTATTGCAGGATTTATCCACTAATGGAATTTATCTGTGCCGTATTCCTAGTAATAAGATTTGCTCCCAATAATAACACTGTAGGTTTTTGTATTTTTTTTTTCCAGTTACCATAGTGGTTATACTATACACAACAATATTACTGCAATTTTTAACTGCTAATGAAATTGTTTTAAACCCACAGCAGACAAATTTACTTCCAACAATCCTATAGCAATTTTTATGTCCTTAAAATCTCACTGTGGCAGGCCAATACTTTTAAAATTTTAACTGATGGTTTCTGTAGTAGTTGTTTTTCCAAGTGTTAAATATTTCCTTTCTTGCTATGGCTTTTCTCCTCTTATACCCCACCCCAAGATCCTCAGCATTGCACTCACCCTCATTTAGGCCGGTCTTTGCTCATTGTTACAGCAAAGGAATATAACAGAATGTAGAAAAACAAAAAATTTTTTATTGGTTTTTGAGTTTCAAAAGCCTAACCTGTTGAGGAATAATGAAATGGAATCCTGTTAGAGACCTGCACTGTTCGCCTCTAACCACATGTGACTATTGAATACTTGAAATGTGGCTAGTCCCAATTGAGATGTGCTATAAGTATAAAATATATACTGATTTCAGACTTAGTATGCAAAAAAGATTAATACATTAATAATATTTATATTGATTACATATTGAAATAATATTTTGGCTATATTGGGTTTATTAAAGACAGTAAAATTAATTTTACCTGTTCCTTTACTCTTTTTTAATGCAGCTACTGGAAAAATGTAAATTATATATATGCCTCACATTATATTCCTATTGGACAGTGCTGTTACAGACAATAGTAAAGCTTCCTTTCCCAAAGATGAGAAATGAGTTTCCTGGGCTGGAAGGGAAAGACAGAACTTGGAGGGGATGTAATGAGAGCTGGATGCTAGTGGATTTCTGAGAGCAGGACCTAATCCCACCCTATTCTGGCACAAACTTGGGAGAAGGGCAGCTGAAATGATAGGATCTATCTATGGTATCTGAGAGCTAATAGAAATATTTTTCTCCTTATTAGAGTCCTGGGGAGGTGGCAAGACCCTTAAGAGAAGAAAAAACTGGGTTGTTATCTAGGCCAGCCAAGATTTTGGAGTGGCACAGTCCAGTAGAACTTTCTATGATGAATATCTACATGGCTGTCCAATGGAGTAGCCATGAGCCACTTGGAACTACTGGACATGCAAAATGTGGCTAGTGTCACTGAAGAAGTTGAGTTTTAATATTATTTAATTTTAATTTATTTATTGGCTACATGTGGCTGGTAGCTACCATAATGGACAGTGCAAACTTACATAGTACTGTGGAGGTTCTGGATGCCCAACACAATTTCCAGACACCCAGAGGGGTACAGAGGCACTGCACAGCCACCAGACCAAAAGAGTCCTTGCTGATGATCCAAAATCAACCCAGCAACAATCCATGGAGCTGGCTGCTAATGAAGATGAATATTAGAACTCTAAGAGGAGCCAGCATAGTAGATGAGAAGCAAGGATTAAATGCCCCATCCCCTTCCCCCAACATAGTGATGCTATGTAAGCCCCCTCAATTGAGATGCAGTTCCTGCCAAATTGACTATGATTAAGTGTTTGCCACCCCTTGTGAAATCAAAGCTTGAAATAGAAATTAGGTTGAGTAATGGGAAAATAAAACTGTGTTTCTTGCCAACCTGAATTTCTTTAGATTGAGATTTATGCCTGTTATATAACCTTAAATAATAACTCTTAATAAAATAATTTAAAACCTATGTTTATTCTCTTAAAAGGTGGCCTTTTTTTTTTACTCTATCATTATAGGACCCAAGTTCTTTGGTTGACATAAAAGCTTAGAAAAGCTGCATTAGAAAACCATCTTTCAATTAGGAACAGTATTCTTTGGTGAAATTGTTTCTGTTGCAGTTACCCATGAACGAATATTTGAAGTTAGTCATAATGAAGCTTTGCACATTGAACCTAAGATTGCACTAATTCTAGGACCTCAGTTGTATACTAAAAATACAATTTTGTCCAGCTCCACAGCATCTAGAAAAGACCAACATGGGCTTGGTTGCTAGAGGCAGAGGAGCATTCTTGACTTCCTTGAAACTCAGGTAGAGACTGAAGCAAATCTACAGATTCTATCCACTGGTGATTCGGCAGGACTAACTTCTGTTGTTAATCTGGAGCAACACAGTGAATGACTAGAAGCTTAGAAATCTTTATATTGCAGGCAACAATGATATTCAAAGTGTGGACATTCAGTGTGTTAACAACATGGCATAGGCATTGATCAGTTAGAATGGATGACAACTGTAAACGTTGGCCTAGTTGTCCCTTTGTGGACTAACTAAATACCAGCCCTAACTCTAGAGTGCCCTTGCTGGTCTATAGCATCCTCTCAATCTAAGCCTTCTAACTACTTAAGATACTTTCATAATGGTGAAGTCCCAGTCCACAAATGTGTATGTCAAGGTAAAAGCAGCTAGCTGAGATAATTTACATATTGCAAATAAGTGGGCCATTACTGGGATTATAGCAGCAAAGATTTGAGTTGGAATTAAGACCTCAGCTGAGAAAGTCATTGCTAAATTCAATAAATTCATCTCCTATAAAATCAGCAGGGATTCTTGACCAAGACTTACTGGTCATTTCCCATGAAATGTTAAGAGCCTTTGGCAAATTATAAGGGGTAGACTGACCTTTGCTTCACTTCTTCTGTGTTTTCAAAAACTGGAAAAAAAATCCAGGTAACCAGATACAGCATCCAGCCAGTGTTTTCCTCTGAATAATTCATAGATGATTATATTTGTATGAGCAAGATAATATAATTAATATCATTCTGAAATAATAAGGCTAGACAGGAAAGGCAAAGAAAAGCTGGTAGAAATTCATAATCTTGGAGGGCATTGACTACAACCCTTGTGGTGTAAAACCAAAGCACTTCCATCCCATACAGTACAAAGAACACACACACAAAAAGCAAAATTTCAAAGCAAGCTGAAAGCAGGCAAAACTCCACTTACCAGGGCACTGGGCATGAGCCAAGGGAAAGTAGCCCTGTTGCTGAAGCTTGTCCCAGATGAGTAGAGCTGGAAAATAAACCCAGCTTTCAAAGGGCAGGATTAACTCATGCACAGTTTGGGCAATCTTCTGGGCAGGGCAAGATAGAGAAAAATTCCAGGGCAAGGGCAATAACATGAGAGCCAGAGAGAGCTGCAATATTGTTCCAGGCCTCTCTTTTCACAGCAAGTCACCCAATTAGTGACTGGGCTTACAGTGATCAGAACGTAGCCTGGGAAGCAAAGATGACTTTGTGAGAGCCGCTGGATATTTCTTCATATTCTGTCACAACTTTTGGATGCTATTTTAAAATATTCCCAATAATGCATCATTGATCTCTTTCTCCAAGAAAAGAAATTCAAGTGTTGAGCAAGTCAGGTTTTTGTGCCATAGTTCAATCTTCCGAAGAAATCCTGCTATCTTTAAAATTTTAAAAATCACAATATTTTATCCCTGAAATAAGTTGAGTCTGTTTTAGATATTGAACATAGTACTGAGTTACCTATATTGAGAGAGCCCCTTGAAACAACTGTCTTGCATTATCAGTGTCCCATTTCTCATTTCAAAAATGTGTGAGCACCTGCTAACCAGCATACTTCAGTGTGGAAAAGGAGAGTGTTATACTTGTGCATGTTTCTTCACATAACACATGCTAAAAAGAGCATATTTAAAGGTCACAACTTGATTATATTTGAAATATTCACTCTTTTCTTGAACAATTAAAGCAAGAATAGGAGGCATATTGTTAACTGTTCAACTTCTCTTATTCTTGTAATAACACTCTTTCTAGCTATTCACAAAACTACCTTGTGCCAATCAGTTTGTTTGCCATGTGTCTTGTCCAGCCTACAGCTGAACAAGATAACAATTACCAAAATCCTGCAGTGACTTGTCAGTGATAAAAAGACCAACTTGTTGAGTACTTCTCTCTAACACATATAGAGCTGTAACATGAAATTGCTGCACAGCGTGTATAATGGGACCTGGTCTTCAACATTGTATGCTATGGATGTATGCCCAAGAATGTTACTGGATCAGTTTTGCCAATAGTTCATTCTGTTTTCTCTTATTAATTTCCCTTAATAATATCTTATTAACTTTCAGTTGACTTTGCAAGTTCTAAGGCAACAGGTTCAAGAGTACAACTTTGAATGATAGCTTTTTCATTTTGATTTTCTTTGATGATATTTTTAGTGAAAAATCTGTTAATTTATTAAGAAATATTCAGTGAATAATTATTAAGGTCAAAGCATTCTGGTAGGTATTGGGAATGCAGCACATAAAAAAGACAAAATCCCTGTCCTCCTGGAGCTCATATTTCTCTTCTATTAGAAGTCATTGTTTAGTATTTCCCTTAGAAAATTTCAGTTGATGAGAGGTGACCGTGCTTTGTTTAACAATGACAAAAAACCTGAGAAAAGTGTTATAAAAGACAATGTGCTGGGGACTAACATAAAAGGATCACCCACTCAATAAAATCCAATTATCAGATGTGTATTATTGTACTTCCAGCTCTTTCCTTTTGTTGTGGCTGCTTGTGCAAAGTCACATAGAGACTTGTCAGAACACATACAAATTTATAATCTATATTTGCACTGGAGTCCTGTTTACAATTTATGTTTTTAAAATTTGAATTGTAGTATTTACATTATTATTTTTATGATTTACTGAATAGAGACATTGATTTTTTTAAGTTATGTCTATAAGGCAACATGATTGTAACTACAAATATGCAAAACTAACACATGCCAAAATTGAAATTACATTGTCTGAGAGAAATGATCTGCAACCTGTTAAACATCAGCCAAAACAATCTGATTAACATATTCCCTTGAGCTCACATGCAACTTTCAAGAGTGTAATGGTCATTAAGAATGTGACAGAGTTTTAACAAACACACCCATCCTATTTAATTTCCCTTTTCACTCCTTAAATTATCAAAAAATTTAAAAAAGAAAACAAAGGCCTATTTTCACTGTCTTTTCCTCAGAAATATTTTAGCTTCTTCCTAGATATCCTTAGAGATAGAATAATTAAAGGTTGTTTTTTGTCTTGTATGTGTTCTGTGATTTTTTAAATGTTAAAAAAGAAAAAAAGGTCAGGCGTGGTGGCTCACGCCTGTAATCCCAGCACTTTGGCAGGCCAAGGAGGGTGGAAGACGAGGTCAAGAGATGAAGACCATCCTGGCTAACACAGTGAAACCCCGTCTCTACTAAAAATACAAAAAAAAAATTAGCCGGGCCTGGTGGCTGGCGCCTGTAGTCCCAGCTACTTGGCAGGCTGAGGCAGGAGAATGGCATGAACCCGGGAGGTGGAGCTTGCAGTGAGCAGAGATAGCGCCACTGCACTCCAGCCTGGGCAACACAGTGAGACTCCGTCTCAAAAAAAAAAAAAAAAAAAAAAAGAAGAAAAAAAAGAAAAGAAAAGAAAAAGAAAAAAGAGAAGAAAAAGGAAAAGAAAAAAAAAAGCTGGGCATGGTAGCTCACCCCTGTTATCCTAGCATTTTGGGAGGCCAAGGTGGGTAGACCAGCCTGGCCAACACAGTGAAACCCTGTCTCTATTAAAAATACAAAAATTAGCCAGGTGTGGTGGTGAGCGCCTGCAATCCCAGCTACTTGGGAGGCTGAGACAGGAGAATTGCTTGAACCTGGGAGGAAGAGGCTGCAGTGAGCCAAGACCGTGCCACTGTACTCAAGCCTGGGTGACAGAGTGAGACTCTGTCTCAAAAAGCAAAGAAAGAAAGAAAGAGAGAGAGAGAGAGAGAGAGAGAAAGGAAGGGAGGGAGGGAGGGAAACTTCAAAGAGATTACACAAACAGCTTTATGTTAATGTAAAAATTATGTGATACGTTTTCTTTTTTAATTTCCTTTGTATTTTTTTTACAATAAAAAATAATGATTAGGCTGGTCATGGTGGCTCATGCCTGTAATCCCAGCACTTTGGGAGGCTGAGGCAGGAGGATCACTTAAGCTCAGGAGTTTGAGACCAGCCTGAGCAACGTGTCAAAACCCTGTCTCTACAAAAAATACAAAAATTAGCTGGGTGCGGTGGCACACGCCTGTGGTCCCAGCTACTTGGAAGGCTGGGGTGGGAGAATCACTCGAGCCTGGGAGGTTGAGGCTGCAGCAAGTGGTGACTGCACCACTGCACTCCAGCCTGGGAGACAGAGTGAGACTCTGTTTCAAAAATAAATAAAAATAATAAGGATTAAACGTGTATAATTGTAGTTTTAGATCGAAGATATTGTATAAGCCATCATTCCATAATCTTTAAAATGTTCTCTCGCTATCTAAAAGCTTTCCATCTATAGTTTCTGATTATAAATCATATCCAATTGACAAAAATGGAAACTCTCCCCCAAATAAATCAATTACTGGTTCATCTAATGTGTTCTGATTCTGGATCTATTCTGCCCATTGATACACTCCAGTTGAGAGATTAAAGAATCTTCTTTCACAAAACGTTTTATTTCTAGAATGTCTTCTGAATTTTGTAACATAAACAGAAGGATGAGTTTTCATTGACCTTTCATTGACTTTTTTTTTCTCTTTTTGAGACAGAGTCTCGCTCTGTCATCCGGAGTAGAGTGCAGTGGTGTGATCACGGCTCACTGCAGCCTCGACCTCCTGGTCTCAAGTGATTCTCCCACCTCAGCCTCCCGAGTAGTTGGGACCACAGGCACACATCACCATGCCCACCTAATTTTTGTATTTTTTTGGTAGAAATGGAGTTTTGCCAATGTTGCCAGGTCTCAAACTCCTGGGCTCAAGCCGCCCTCCCTGCCTTGGCCTCCCAAAGTGCTGGGATTATAGGCATGAGCCACTGCACCCAGTCTTCACTGACATTTTATTTTGTACTTGAATTGCTTTAGGACTGTGAATTTCATGATTCTGCTGGGCGTTTTCCTCATATCCTCTAATTCTGGCTCATGTTTAGCTCCTCTCTTATTTCCCCTCTTATATATGACATATACATATACTTACATATACATATATGTGTGACATAAACATACAAAATTCTGGGAATATTGGTAGAATTATTAGGAAAGACAAGCTCTTTCCTCTGGGACTGATTGCTATAAAGATAGGTATCCTGCTGCCAGGGACCTCCACTGGAGCAAGTCGAAGAAAAAAGCCAAAACAGAGGAAGCCAGGAGATGAAGCAGAGAGAGTTGCTTCATTTGCCTCATCTGTAAAATGGGAATGGGAAAATGATAGTTGGCTACTGGAGGTGAGGTGCTGGAAGAAATAAGCTCTTAAGACCCCTTCCAGCTCTAATTTGGTCATTTTTTTAAATGTCTACCCTTAATACAAGGATATGTTTGTGACATTTTAAAAGGCAGTAAGAGTTTCTCCACAGTTGTTTCCATTATTATCTAGTTTTTGCTGTCTTAAGAAGTTTTTTTTTTTTTGTCATGGGAGGGAGTGCTATTTTTGGTGATTTTTGTCTAGCCTTAATTTTTCTGATCAACTAAAAATTGAAAACTTATAGTCACAATTCCCATAGAAAACATGAAGGCAGAATGATGTCTTTTAGTAAGATATAAGATATCATTCCTAAATATACCAGTTCCTAATTCAATTGTTTATACCAAGTGCTAAAAAGGAGAGTAATTATAGATCAATTTAAAAAGCATTAATAGAACATATTGCACTTTCTAGAGTATATTGTTGATAACTTCAATGGCAATCTAGCCCAAAGAGTTTAATCTTTTCCAGTATGAATGAAAAAGAACGCCCTTAAGGAGTGATACCCATGACTTGCAATAATTTCTTTAATGTTCTTTGAAAATTAACAGTACAGAAACAACCAAATACAAAAATTACCACAAAATGTATCATTAACCTAAATGTTAACAGCTAAAACTATAAAACTGTTAGAAGAAAACAAATAAATCTTCATAGCTTTGGGTTTGGCAATGGTTTTTTAGATACAGTAACAAAAGCAAGAGCAACAAAAGAAAAAAACAGATAAACTGGACTTCATCAAAATTTTAAAATCTTATACCTCAAAGACACCATCAAGAAAATGAAGATAGACAAATATTACATGTTCTCACTCATATGTGGGAGCTAAAAAGTTGATTTTTCTGGAGGTAGATGGTAGAATGGTAGTAGCCCAAGGTTGGGAAGTGTAGTCGGGAGGGGAGAAGAGAGGTTGGTTAATGGATACAAAAATAAAATTCACTAGAAGGAATATGTTCTATTGTTTGATAGCACAGTAGGGTGACTATAGTTAAGAATTTATAGTATATTTCAAAGTAGCTAGAACAGAAGATTTAGAATGTTGCCAACACAAAGAAATGATAAATATTTGAGGTGACAGATATCCCAATTGCCCTGATTTGACCTCTACACATTGTATGCACTTGTCAAAAACACACATGTATCCTATAAATAAATACAATTATTACGTATCCATTTTAAGTGAAAAAATAACCAACAGATGGGAGAAAATATATGCAAACCATATATCTGATAAGGTACTTGTATCTAGAATATATGAAGAATTATTACAAGCTCAAAGACAGACAAATGATACACTTTAAAAATTGGCAGGAAATCAGTATATTGGAGAGATCTCTGCACTCCCATGTGTATTGAATCACTATTCACAATGCCAAGATTTGGAAGCAACCTAAGTGTCCGTCAACAGATGAATGGATTAAGAAAATGTGGTAGTTATACACAATGGAGTACTATTCAGCCATAAAAAAGAATGAGATACTGTTATTTGCAACAGCATAGATGGTACTGGAGGTCATTATGTTAAGTGAAATAAACCAGGTATAGAAAGACAAACTGCACATGTTTTCACTTATCTATGGGAGCTAAAAATTAAAACAATTGAACTCATGGAGATAGAGGATGGTTACCAGAGGCTGGGAAGGGTAGTAGGGGAAAGGGGTAGGGGTCATGAGGATAATTAATGGGTATAAAAATATAGTCAAAATGAATAAGATCTAGTATTTGATAGCACAAGAGGTGATTACAGTCAACGATAATTTTTTACACCCATTAAAATAGCTAAAAGAATATAATTGTATTGTTTGTGACACAAAGGATAAATGCTTGTACCCTGATGTGATTATTACACATTATATGACTATATCAAAGTATCTCAGGTACCCCATAAATATATACACCTACTATGTGCCCACAAAAATTAAAAAAAAATTATAATACAAAATATAATGAAAATTGGCCAAGAATTTAAATTGACATTTATCTGAAGATGATATACATATAAATGACCAACAAGCACTTGAAAAGATGTTCAATATAATTTGCCATCAGAGAAATGGGAATCCAAACCACAGTAAGATACTACTTTACACCAATTAAAATGGTTTAAGATCAAAGACAGACAATAACAAGGGTTGATGAGGATGCAATAAAATTGGAGCCCTCATACCTTGCTGGCAAGATTGTAAAAAGGAACAGCCACTTTTGAAAACCAGTTTGGCAATTCCTCAAAATGGTAAATGTAGAGCTACTATGACTCAGTGATACCACTCCTAGGTAAATACCAAAGAGAAGTGGATGCATATGTCCACACAAAAACTTGTGCATAAGTGTTCACAGTGGCTTTATTCATAATAATCAAATAGTGGAAGAAACCCAAATTCTATCAGCTCATGAATGGATAAACAAAATGTGGCATTATCATACAATGGAATATTTTTCAGCAATAAAAATGAATGAAGCATTGATTCACGCTATAACATGGATGAACCTTGAAAACTATGTTAAGTGAAAGAAGCCAGTTGCAAAAGACACATATTGTATGATTACTTTTATATGAAATGTCCGTAAAAGACAAATCCACAGAGACAGAAAGTTCAGGCACATGAAGGAGTTACTGCTAATAAATATTGGCTTCTTTTTGAAGCGATAAAAATGACCTAAAATTACATAGTGATGATGGTTGCACAACTCTGAACATACTAAAAACCACTAAATTGTACACTATTACTAGGAGATACTGTATTTGATTTATATCTCAATAAAGCCATTAAGAAAAATAAAACGAT
Organism: Homo sapiens; assembly: GCF_000001405.40. Lineage (NCBI taxonomy): Eukaryota > Metazoa > Chordata > Mammalia > Primates > Hominidae > Homo > Homo sapiens. Next base: position 62,691,880 of record NC_000002.12, on the reverse strand, counting down.
ATAGAAAGAAACCACTGCAGCCACATTTTACTAAAAGTCACAAGAAAACTGAATATGCTAGAGCTCAGCAAAATATAATATTCTAATACAGAAATTTAAAATATGAATGTTCCCTACTCTTAAAGTTTTGAGATGTGGGTTCTAGTTTTTCCTGGCCTCCAACCTGCAGCCTGGGACAAGTCACTTAGGTTTAACACCATTCTGTTCATTTATCAGTAAAATTAAGGTAGTGGATTAGAGGATTTTCAGTTGAGGGGAAAATTTAGGAGGTCTGGAGGAGTTCAGAAGCAAATATTGTTAGTTGCCTGTCAATACCCATTCTCCTTTTTTCTTCTCTAGAAATAAAAACCCCAATTTCTAAGTGAGCCATTTTCACTCAGCTAATGACCTGCCAGCCTCCTTTACAACCAGATATGGCTATGTGCCTAAGTTTGGCTAAGTCTTGTGTATAACTTCTAGAAAGTCTCCTCCAAGGGAGGGAGTGTGCCTTTCCTTTCTGTTGACGGGATACAGATGGGTTGGCTAGAGCTTTAGCGACTATCTTGGACCATGAGGATAAGGGATGGCAAAGTATCAAGCTGGAAGAAGCCTGGGTCTCTCACAAATTTGTAGAGGCACTACATTTGCCCTGAACTGCCTATCACCAGACTTCTTTCATATGAGACAGAAGTAATCATATAAGACAAAGTTATTTTGGTGGGATTTTTTTCTGTCACATATAAAGATATTTAATTCTAACTAACACAGTCAGCTTATGAAGGATAAAAAGAAAGGGGCATTTTTAATTGGCTTGGAGGCAAGTTCACTCTTTCAAAAAATTAAAGCCCTCTTTCTAGATGGAACAACTTTCTAAGTTAACCTGAGGGCACGCAAGGGCTCTTGATTTGATCTTCCAAAAGATTGCCAATAATAGCAAACATCTAGAACTGTACAAATGCATTTGTCATCACAGCACCTGTCTCCTCTCCCTGGCATTTTCATATCAGCTAAGATCAGTGACAAAATTCTAAACACTGCAGGTTTCAAATTTGATTGGTGTATGGGGAGAGGGCAAAATCCTTCCTTTGAAATAGGTGTCCAGTGGGATTCTTATTTCTTTTTCATTCTGTCTCAGTTTCCTGACCTTGACTAAATCCATATGGTTAGTTAAGTGTTTCTTGAGGGGCGCAAAGGACTTTGTCTCCCTGGTAGGAGACAAAGTTTAAAAACCATCCATTCTTGGTTATGAGAGCCTTATGTGGCTTTGTAAGTGGTATTTGTTCACAGTCTTACTCAATCTTGTATAACAATTTTTTTTATTTAATTAATTTATTTATTTGAGATGGAGTCTTGCTCTGTCGCCCAGGCTGGAGTGCAGTGGCATGATCTCGGCTCACTGCAACCTCCACCTCCTGGGTTCAAGCAATTCTCCCTGTCTCAGCCTCCCAAGTAGCTGGGATTCCAGGTGCCCACCACCACACCCAGCTAATTTTTGTATTTTTAGTAGAGACAGGGTTTCACCATCTTGGCCAGGTCCATCTTGAACTCCTGACCTCATGATCCACCTCCCTCGGCCTCTCAAAGTGCAGGGATTACAAGCGTGAGCCACCGTGCCCAGCCACAACAATTATTTTTTTCACTTCAAAACCCCTATTTTTAAAGACACATATACTCCATCATCCCCAGTTGGGCTTTTTCTGCTACCCCCAAGGAGGCACCCAGAGGCTTTGTCTGCTAAGTGCTATGCTGCAGGTGACTGTTAACTAGACTGCTTTCACAGCCTCCCAGATTATTGAAAGATGGCCCAGTCCTTCTACTCTTCAGCAGGTCTGCCTGAAACTTCAACTATTATAGACAATACCAAATGTGATTAAAAAGTGGACTTAGCACAGTTCTCTTATGAACCAAGAAACTTTAAAAACATTCATGCAGATTCTGTCATAAGAAGAAATATGAAAGACTAACAAAGCCTGATAACTCTTTTTCACTTCCTAAAGTTATAAACACTACTGCTTTTTAGTAGTAACTATTAATGCTTTCTGTGTATACTTTATCATTCATCCATTAAGGACTAAAACGTCACTTTAAACACAAGAACAAATAAACATGCAATCAAATGGTTTCATCAGGAAAAAGTCAGAATTTGATAATAATGTAATCATAATATAGCCATAAGATTTGGATTCTTGTTAATGAAAATAGACACAATTTTTAAAATTATTATTATTATTATTTTGAGACAGAGTCTTGCTCTGTTGCCTAGGCTAGAGTGCAGTGGCACAATCTCGGTTATCTCCGAGACCTCGGTTACCTCTCGGCAACCTCCACCTCCTGGGTTCAAGCAATTCTCCTGCCTCAGCCTCCCGGGTAGCTGGAATTACAGGTGTGTGCCACCAATGCCCGGCTAATTTTTGTAATTTTAGTAGAGACAGGGTTTCACTGTGTTGCCCAGGCAGGTCTTGAACTCCTGGCCTCAAGCGATCTGCCCACTTCGGCCTCCCAAAGTGCTGGAATTACAGGCGTGAGCCACCACACCAAGCCTAAAAAATTATTTCAGTAATAGCTATTTTTGTTTCATGAAGATATATCATAATAGATTCTGAACCAGCCTCCTTTTATTTCTGTCATATTTGATTTTTTCTCTATTTAGGTTATACATACTGATATTTCTTGTTTCCACAGCTCACTGAGGAGGCACTGAAGTTTCTGTGTTTCAATCAGACCAACTGACTTGAGTTATTGCATTTAAAGGCACTTTGATAAAAATAACTATAGGCTTTGAAAGTTCTTTCTAATTTTTAAAATATTTGTGCTGGCTTAGTGACTATTAAAAAATAACAGGCTTCAAATGATTCAAACATATGCATGCAATTCTGGGACTCCTGAGTAATGGGATGCACACATTCTTACTTGGGGTTTTATTAAAATGACCTTCTCAGTATGCATACCAGGACCCTTCATGAAGCAAAGCCAGAAGAGTCATTCCAAAACTTGCATGTAGTCCTGCATCACTCCTCGACCAAAAAGGGGGATTAATGTACAATTTCCAGTTTGTGAAGAAGATGAAAAAAATGATCTCATTTTGATTTGCCCATTTCAGAAGTGTTTGGTTTCTTATGCTTTTTCTGTGATTAGCCTGGGTAGGAGGAAAGGCAAAGTGATGAATGAAAGTTAAACATTGCCTGTTCTCATCTGTGGAAGCTAAAAAAAAAAAGTTGATCTCATAGAAGTGAAAAGTAGAACAGAAGATACTAGAGGCTGGGAAGCATAAGAGAAAGAGGGGAATAGGGGGAGATTTATTAAAGGATACAACATTACAACTAAATAGAAGGAATAAGTTTTAGTGTTCTATAACACTGCAGGATGACTGCATTTAATAATAACATGTAGTTTTAAATAGAAGGAGGATATTGAATGTTCCCAATACAAAGCAATGATAAATGTTTGAGATAATAGTGAATTACCCTGATCTGATCACTATATGTTATACATATACAAAACATCACTATGTACCCCATAAAGATGTATAATTATGTGTCAATGAAAAAAATTTTTAATAAAATAAAATAAATGTCCAACACATAGAAGATACTCAGTAAATACTGATTCCCTCCCTTTCTGTTGCTTCTGAGGGGAGCGTAGAGTATATAACATTGCTGATTAAATTTACAAACTGTAAGGAAGGAGATGGCATTACTCTCTCATGCTATTGGAAATATCCAATTTTTACATCCAATATTAAATTACTTTATTCAGTAATTCTCTCTCAAACCAAAAATCAGAGCCCAAGAGAGATAATTCATTTTTAAAAATATACTACTGGATATATCACTTTGCTGCTTTTGTGAAAGTTAAGTTCCAGTGAGAAAGAAAGCTGAGGAATAATTTCCAGAGTCTACTTGTCTATGAAAGTCCCTCTCTTCTTTCAAAAGTAGGCACATCTGATAGTTAATGTACTTATCCAGTATGGTAAAGAAGCCACCTATCAGCTCATTTCACTTGAAAACTTTGACAGTAACTACTTTGGGACTGACTCACTCTTACTATCTTTCTTTCAATCTATTCAACCTCATACTTTATAAGGACACACTAACTCTTGTCTCCTTGATCTTTTCATAGCGGGTCTGTGCAGATTCTGGAGTCTTTAGCAGTATCTTTAAAGGAATATCTTTTTTCTTTGTATTGGAACCCTTACAAACCATTTCATAGAACATAGCTGGACTCTCGTACTTAGATTGGCACATCAATCCACAAAAAAAATTGGGAGAGTTCACTGAGAAATTGATATGTCAAATCACAATGCATTTGTATTGAACCTAGATAGAAATACCTAGAAAATTAGGCAAATAATAAGTGGCTACTTGGAATTCCTAAACAGTTTATACTTCTACACAGATGGGAAACCCATCTATTACGACCCACCTATAGATTATCTGGGAACTTCAGACTTCTGCTAGTACAACTGGGATTTTCCTACATCTCTTTTGTACTACTAGAAGACTTCACATAGGTGAACAAGGGAGATGAGCTCAAGGCAAAACAGTTTCTGAACTTTATTATTTCCAATATTCAAAACGAAGGTTTTCTACCTCCTTCCATCAATAGGAAAAATGCCTTTGGGTTTGAAGAAGAAAGACAGTATTTAAATAAAAAGTTTACTTTCATCTTATAAATTAAAGGGGAAATGATCATAGAAAGACAGTGTTTAGAACTGGCAGGGATCTTAGAGAATATTTAATTCAATCCTCCTGTTTAAGAATAAAGAAAAAGAGACCTGGAGAGGATTTATGTCTGCTTCAAGTCAAAACAGCTGAAGACAGGAGGTAGCATTAAGTGGTGGAAAGAGCGTAGACTTTGGGTTGGCAGTGTGGATTTGAATACAGCTCTTTTAGTTACCAGTTGAATGGTTTCTTTATATATAAAGTGGGGATAATAGGGCTTGTCTTTAGAGTTGTTATGAGGAGTAAATGATGTAACTTATGTAAAGTACCTAGAACACTTGTTGGTACATAGTAAGTGCTTGACAAATATTTATGTCTTTAAAGGAACCCAAACCAGGGTCTTTTGACAACTTTTGTACACTGCACTGCACTGTTAATACAGCTGGCCGAAAGGATTCAAACATGTGTTTAAAATAAGAGATTCCAAATGAAATAAATGGTGTGCAATATTAAATAATGTTTTTAAAACATTCGCTTACCATTAATGCAAGCGATACCCAGTCCTTTTCAGATGAAATAAAATGTTCCACTTTTCTCAGTGGTTTTAGCTGTTTCCAGATACACACAGCTCAGTACAAAGAGATGACACAAGGGACTTTTTATCTGCATTGCAGAGAGCAATACGGTGATAATTTGCATTGGAACTTGCCGTTAGCTCCATATGGCATGTATTCATCATTTAGTGGGTTCAGTGCCCTATCTTTAGAGCTTCAGCGATCAGGATAGAAATTGCCCACTTATTTATGCTTGGCTGGACTGAAAATATAGGGAGAGGAAGAAGTGCAGGGAAACACCACTCTCTGCAAGACTTGGCCCTGGAATTAGGAGTAAAGCATTAACACTAACTTGTCGAGCAATAGCTGCTTCTGTCCTAAAGAGTAGACAAAATGCAGATGATATGCAGTATATTATTTATGGGTTGCAATCATGCATGTTATTCTTGTCTGCCCCACAAAGGACCTGTGGTTTAATGTAGAGCTGTCTTCCTTTTGTTCAGCACAAAGCCTCACTCACACTGGGCAAGTGGGCATTTCCAATGGCATGTCATCACTTGGTTTGTATGAGCAACAGGAGAAGTTGCTCTCAAAAGTCAAACTAGGAATTAACCCACTCCCTTCCCATACATCTCCCTCAGAAAAGAGAAATGGAGAGAATACTATTTTTTTTGTCCTTATTGAAAGTAAAGTGACAAATGGTTTTCTCTCCCATTGGAAAGTTAAAGAATCAGTCCCTTTTATACAAAAAGAATTTTGATTTTTCTTCAATTTGTTGCTCTAAAAGATTATATAAATCATTCAAGCTGAAGATTCTGGTTTTATATCCATTAGTAATCAGGATGATGATCTCAGTGATGAGAAGAAGGGAATTCTGAAACCTACCCCCTCCTCCCCAACCCCCAATCACTGTAATAAGCATATATTTAGCTCTAGCATTCTAACACTGGAGCAAAAGGTGCTGCCGCTTATAAGCTCTGGACTATGAACAGATATTATGGACTGATGTGGGTTGAATTGTGCTCCACCCATCAAATTCATATATCAAAGTCCTAATCCCTAGTACCTCAGAGTATGACTTTATTTGAAAATAGGGTTGTTGCAGATGTAATTTGTTAAGATGAGGTCGGCAGGTGGACCCTAGTCCAATATGACTGACGTCCTTATCAAAAGGGGACACTGGGACACAGACAACCACAGAGAGAGAACACCATGTGAAGATGAAGGCACAGACTTGGGTGTTGTTTCTATCAGCCATCAAACCAACAGAAGCTGGGGGAGGGGCATGAAACAGACTCTCCCTCATAACCCTCAGAAGGAACCAACAATGCTGACACCTCCATCTCAGACTTCTTTTTTTCTATTTTTATTATATATTGACAAATTATAGTTGTATATATTTATGGGGTACAAAGTGATGTTACAATTTATAAATACAATGTGGAATGATTAAATCAAGCTACTTAATATATCCATTACCTCAAATATTTATCTTTTTTGTGATGACAGAACATTTGAAATTTATTCTCTTAGTGATATTATAATGTACTGTACTCAATTATTAGCTATATTTGGGAGACTGTCCAATATACCTTGTAAAAAATCAAACTTATTCCTTCTATCTAACAGTTCTTTACCCTTTGACTCTCATCTCCCCATTCCCCCTAGCACCCCCAGCCTCTGGTAACCACTGTTCTGCTCTCTGCTTCTGTGAGTTCAACTGTGTTGGATTCCACATATAAGTGAGTCCATCTCAGACTTCTAACCTCCAGAGCTGTGAGACAACAAATTTCACTGTGTAAGTCACCCAGTTTTTGGTACTTTGTTATGGCTGCCCTTGCAAACTAATACATAAACGTTCTCTCTTTCTTTTCCTCTCTCCCTCCCTCCCTGTCTCCCTCCTTCCCTTCCTTTCTTCCTTCTTTTTCTGGTGGACTTCATAGAAAAGGAGCTGGAAGATAGGAACATAATTTTCCTTCTAAGCCATTGATGGGCTTTAATATTTTTTAGCATGAAAAAATACAAATGCTTGTTTTAAAGCACATCCACACCTTATTTTGACAAATGCTGGTAATAATGGGCAAAAGGGGTTGCCCCAAGGAACACACACGCCAGTGCCCGCTTCATGTGCTTAAAATCAAATCCATGGCTCCTAAAACTCAATGGCTCATTTCAGGCCTTTAAAGAAACCTAATTTTACCCTTGTTTTTCCCACTTTGGCTTTTTCCCTTCCTTGAAGAACCGACTTTTCAACTTGCTGAAAAGCTTTACTTTGCCCAGACCTATTCACTCATCTCCAAAATGGAGCAGAAGCAGTGTTCTAGTATCTCTCCTTCTTTCCCAAGGAGTAATTTTACCTCCCCCACTCTACCCCCATCCCTCCACTCAGAAAGGAGTCTACCTCTCTTTGATACTTATTGTCGCATCTCTTTTCTCCCCATTGCTATGTGAAGGATGTATTTCCAGGACCATTGCTTGGCGTTATATTTGCTGTTCTAAGGGCTTCTTTCTCAATGATACAGCACCAAGGTCACTGGCACTTGCATATGAACATCTGTGCACACCCATATACTCTCACAGAGTTGTCCTTTGTTTCCTAAGATGACAATACTATAATATAATAAACTCCAACGTGTGTGCACTTACACTTGATCAGGCCACTCTGAGAACATGGGATCTTCTTTTGCCAAGTGTGCCTGACACCTCTTCTTGGACTAAAGACTATCCAGACCCCAGAATTGCTTGATATTCTTAGAGCTGCTGCATCCTCATCCATGGTGGGTGAGCCTGAAGCTTCGGTTCATAAAACAGCAAACTCTGGTCCTGCAGCTGCCTGGGTCTGTGGGCTCTAGCAGTTCCACAGCCATCCATGGTGTCACCACATTTCTTGAGCTGTTCTAGGCAAGTAGACATCTGTGGTTTTGCCCACCTGACATTAATTCCCCCTTCTTTCCTAGTTTTTCCACTTTCTGTGTAGTTTAGGTGCTGACCTTACTTACTCATCTTTTTTTTTTTTTTTTTTTTTTTTGAGATGGAGTCTCGCTCTTTCGCCCAGGCTGGAGTGCAGTGGCGCGATCTCAGCTCACTGCAACCTCCGTCTCCCGGATTCACACCATTCTCCTGCCCCAGCCTCCCAAGTAGCTGAGACTACAGGCGCCCGCCACCATGCCCAGCTAATTTTTTGTATTTTCAGTACAGGTGGGGTTTCACCGTGTTAGCCAGGATGGTCTCGATCTCCTGACCTCGTGATCCACCCACCTCGGCCTCCCAAAGTGCGGGGATTACAGGCGGAGACACCGCGCCTGGCCTGCTTACTCATCTTTAGGTCTCTACCATTAGTGAAAGAAAGGGCACATGACCCAAGCCAAGACAATGAAATTCAACTTAGGAACTTGTGATAAAATTGCTGGGCAAGAGTATTGTCTCTGTTTGACTTGAAATTGGGAGAATGTAAACCTGGAGCTTCTGGGGGATGCCAGGCAGAGGAAATCTGAGAACGAAGCCAAGCTGAGAGATACAGAGATCAAGGTGGGATAGGAGGGGGTGGGACCGTTGTTCTGACAGTAGCTGCCTCCTTGGAGCCAGCTAAGCCTAAAATTTTCAGTATATAAGCCAATAAATTCCCTTTGCTTAGGCCATTTTGAGATAAATTTTCTGCTGCTTGCAACTGAAAGCATCCTAATATAGCCATTTTTTTCTTCTGGCCTTTCTTTCTGTCTTCTACCTCTTGCTTAACGTATAATAGTTATTTTAATTTGTGTGTATTAAATTTACATGTTTAGCCATTTCATAACTGTGTTGGGATGAACTTCACTTCAATGTCAGTGAGTGGAGGGTGCAGTGGGCTTACTGTTACTAATCTTATTCTTTGACTTGGAGAATTTACAGTTGGTTGATAATGAAAATATTCTCCAAAATCCAGCAATGTTTTGTCCTAGAGTCAGGCAGTATAGCTTCTCAGAAGGTCAGAAATCATCAGAACTTGTTATAGGCTTATGACCTCGTTAAGAGCTCAATATTGTGCTGGTACCATCTGTCTGTCAGGTTCTTAAATGTCAACATGATCCTGGTTTATTTCTAGACTTTGTCAATCAGTTTATCACATGCTATCTGCAAAATAGAACCCAATGATATCCTCATTCCAGGCTGAGTATAGGATTTTCTTGGTGCAAGCTAGTATGCAACTTTGGTTGTGTAGCTGCTATAAAAACTGTTCACAGATGGTTATAAAGAACAAAAAGGACAATAAATTGGAAAATATGACTATTAATCCAAAGGTACTAGAAAAGCTCCTTCCTAGCACTTTCCAAGCAAGAGAAAAGAAGACAATGACAACGATCACCACTTAAATCGTAGCTATTCCCACTGACAATGAAGGACACACAGACAGACCCCCGATTTATAAGATCCCTTATTTATCACTTTTTATAACACACCCTAGTAAACAATTAAATATCTTTTATTTGATATCTTAAATTGGAAAGTCCTCTGCTGTCATAGAGTTTGATTTCCCTGACAATGTAGGCATGTCCTCCACATCCTTCCTAAATGGCTATCCAGCCTCCTTCTGAATGTCAAAATGTCTCCAGGGATTGAGGTCTCTGTCCATTGAAGGCAAACTCATTTTTACAGAAAGTATTCCCTTGTGCTGAGCCACAGCCTCTCTCCTCTAACTTTAGAGCACCAGAAGTTTACTTAGGGGAACTTAGAGATCATTCAATCCAATAACTTCATTTTGTGCCCAGTGATGTGCCTTCCAGAACAGAGTATCTATCTAATCATTTCCTCTGTAATGGCTCTTTCCAATATTTTATGACAGCATTTGTGTTCTTTCCATCACACTTTTTCTCTGGGATAAATACACTCAGGTGCTTCACTCCTTCCTTACCCTGGCCCAAGTTCCCTAACTTCTGGACTTCTAATTCCCCCTTATGATATGATACAGTCTCCCATGATATCCCACTAGTATTCATGCAGAAGCTACATTATTTCCTTCCAGGTGCAAAACTAAAAAACAGGGGGGAAAACATTTTTCAGTATTTTATACCCATAATAGTTTTAGCCTCCTGAACAAAACAGGGTTGGCTATAAATGGCCTGTCAATGTTTCTGGCAAAGCCAGATTTTCTGCAAATAAATTTGTCAGGCTTCAGATCATCAAGCCTCTCAATAGTATGGAATTGTGCTATTGCAAGCCTCTTTAGCAGTTTAACTTAGACCACTGCTTAGTCATTTCAGTCATGCTATCTTACATGTATTCAGTTTTTTGTATGTGTATATATATATATACATATATACACATTATATATTTATACATATATACACATTATATATATATATATATATACACACACACATACATACAAATATATATATATATTTGAGATGGAGCTTTGCTCCATCACCCAGGCTGGAGTGCAGTGGCATGATCTCAGCACACTGCAACCTCCACCTCCCAGGTTCAAGCGATTCTCCTGCCTCCGAGTAGCTGGGATTACAGGTGGCCACCACCATGCCTGGCTAATCTTTGTATTTTTAGTAGAGACGGGGTTTCACCATGTTGGCCAGGCTGGTCTCAAACTCCTGACCTCAGGTGATCCACCTGCCTCAGCCTCCCAAAGTGCAGGGATTACAGGCATGAGCCATCACGCCCGGCCATTTTTTGTATATTTATAAAGTATTTTCATTCCTATCTTGTTTGATATTCAAAAAATGAATACATGTAAGATTACTCTCCTTTCCTCCCAGTATGATAGGGTAGGAAAGCTACCATGCTGGAAGGAAAGCAGGGCAACATGTTATTTTCTTCACTTTGCAGATGATGCTCAATGACTCCTCCAAAGTTAGGTTCTAACGAGTTGGTAGTAGAGATAGGACTTATATCCCACGAATCTTGACTCTCAGATTGCTGTCTTGTTTTCTGTATAGCTACTGTCCTTTGTCACTAAATAGCCTCATATTCCCTCTAGACAGCACTACTGCTTGAGTAGCTCTCTTAAAGGGAGTTCTCTTCACTCCTAGAAGAACCCATATTTCTGACTATTAGAGTCCAGTGATCTCATTAGATTCCAAGGCTTTATTCTCCTCCCTCCTGTTTTATGCAAAACTGATTTTGAAATGAGCAAACACTGCAATGCAACAATAATTTTTAAGTGCCCACCTTCCCTTTTCCCCCCTCCCCCCTTCAATCTGCTGATGGGAATCAGAAGTTCAATTTATCAAACATTGCAAGAAAGGGCAAGATAAGTTTTAAGTCATAAGCTGACAGTGAGTAATGATTAAAAAGAAAATTAAAACTCATTACCTGTAGGACTCCTACTCACTTTCTCCTTTGCCTCTGGTAATTCACTTATCTTTAGATTCAATAACTTGAGGAACAGGGGAGGGTAGAACAGTGTGAGGGATGAGGATGAAGCCAAGGGGCACTGAAAATGAGAGGGGAGGAACTCTGCATTCAAATGGGAGACATGTTGTTCCAGCCAGTCTTTGTATAGGAGTAGCTCTCCAGCTAAAAATAGAACTTTCCTTTCCTATATGGTGATCTCCCCTTAACTCAGTGAAAGCGTTCATGTAGAAGACATGAGGTTGGATAATGTTTTCCTTTTAGGTTCTTCTTCCTGGATTGATAAACAATTATAAGGGAAGGACAAATCCCTCACATTTGGGAGAAAAGTTTCCTTAAGTTTCTTTACCTGAATTTGAATGGAAGAGTTGGGGATTAACATGCTAAGTACGCTCTAGATAAACGCTCAGATGAAGCATGTCTTGCCCTTTCACCTTAGGTCTGCCAAGCCCAAAATATAGCCCAAGACTCAGCTTAGCTGTGGTTTTCCTCCAGGCCTCTAAACACTTGGCACAACACACCTTGTTGGTGATGGTTTGGGATTTAACCTTGAAGTCAAGTGGTTACTTAATTAAATGATCCAAATCTTTGTCTAGACTAATAGCCAATGCCATTTTATTTTTTTAAAAATGTTTTTTGCCAACTTTTAGACTTTATACTAAGAGTCTGTCTTAAGTCTTTTATTACCGTTGAGAAATTTGCAACTATTTTTTCCCCAATAGTAAAGAGGCATGAAATTTTCTAAGATCCTTGCTTCGGGTACTAGATGCCTACTAGGACCTTAGAACAAGAAACTGGAATATTAGGAGAGCCAATTATGGGGGTAGGGAGAGATAAAAGATAGGTGGCAAACAAAAATAATCTAAAAGAAAATATAAATGCTAAACTGACTATTACAGGAACAAAAAAGTGCTAAAATTAATCAGGTACACATACCAGTGATGTCATATTTGCAGGGGATAAGGAAAAACTAATCGACCGGATTTTAGGTTAATGTCCTCTTGGCTTTCTGGAGAGGCTATGGTATTGTCAAGCTTATGGTATTTATGTGAGTTATAAAAATAGCAGAACTATCCAAGAGATTTCTGGATTCCTGAACTGACTATAGGTGTGATATTGATGTTAAAGTTTAGTCAATTTTCCATTATTTGGGGATCAATAAACCAGTTTAAATTGTTGTGGGAGGTCAAATTTAAAAAAGACACTATTTGTTTTAGATTATGCTGATAAAATACAAAGCATAGGCTATAGAGTCCAAGTTTTTGGGGCTTGGAGTCCAGGCCGTATCTCACTAGCTGAGCTGCCTTGAGTGAGTCATTTGGCCTCTCTAAGACTCAGGGTTCTCTGTATTAAAATTACTTTAATATTTGGGAATGATAGTAAGAGTAGTTAAAAATAAAACAAAATAAATTAAAATTAACATGGCTTTAAAATAATTTAAAATAATAATTAAGGATATGAAAAAATTCTGAGTAAGAAATGGGTTATAAAAAAGACAAAGTATTTGTTTTTAGTAAATATACATGTAATAAAAATGTAGAGCACTAAATATATAAAAGGTAGGACAAAGGTCAATAGATATTTGGGTACAGGGATATTTATTTCTGTTTTAACTTTTGTGGATTTTCTGAATTTTTCTTTTGACCATGTATTAATGATGTTGAGAAATTTTTAAAATTATAACTTTTAATAATAAAGACCAGATCCTGAAAAAAAATGAGTTGAATAATAACAGCTATTTTGGAACTCAAATAAGCTAATGTATATGAATACAGTTTATAAACTCTAAAGTACTAATTACTGTTATTATTCTCTAATGCTGGCCCTAGGTTATAAATCAAAAGGGGAAATAAAACACAACCTGTAAAAAGCTTCTGCACAGCAAAGGAAACATTAACAAAGTGAAGAAACAACCCACAGAATGAGAGAAAAGATTTGCAAACTACTCATCTGACAAGGGATTAATAACCAGAATATATAAAGAACTCAGACAACTCTATAGGAAAAAGTCTAATAATCCTATCAAAAATGGACAAAATATTTGAATAGACATTTCTCAAAAGAAGATATACAAATTGCAAACAGGTATATGAAAAAATTTTCAACATCATTGATCATCAGAGAAATGAAAATCAAAACTGCAGTGAGATATCATAATCTTACACCAGTTAAAATGGCTTTTATCCAAAAGTCAGGCAATAACAAATGCTGGTGAGGATGTGGAGAAAAGGGAACGGGTACGCTGTTGGTGGGAACATAAATGAGTACAACCACTGTGGACAACATTTGGAGGTTCCTCAAAAAAACTTAAATAGAGCTACTATATGATCCAGGAATCCCACTGCTAGGTATATACCCCAAAGGAAGGAAATTAGTATATCAAAGAGTTATCTGTACTCCCAACTTTATTGCAGCAGTGTTCACAATAGCCAAGATTTGGAAGCAACCTAAGTGTCCATCAACAGATGAATAAAGAAAATGTGGTAGTTAATCACAGTGGAGTACTATTCAGCCAAAAGAAAGAATGAGATCCTGTTATTTGCAACAACATGGTTGGAACTGGAGGTCATTATGTTAAATGAAATAAGCCAGGAACAGAAACACAAACTTTGCATGTTCTCACTTATTTGTGGGAGGTAAAAATTAAAATAATTAAACTCATAGATAGTATAAGGATGGTTACCAGAGGCTGCAACGGGTAGTGGGGTAGGTGGGGGGAAGTGGGGATGGTTAATGGGTACAAAAAAATAGAAAGAATGAATAAGATCTAGTATTTGTTAACATAACAGTGTGACTATAGTAAAAAATAACTGTACATTTAAAAATAACTAGAAGAGTATAATTGGATTGTTTGTAACACAAAGGATAAATGCTTGAGGCGGTGGACACATTTACCCAACGTGATTATTATGCACTGCATTCCTGTATCAAAATATCTCATGTAACCCACACATATTTACACCTGTTGTATACCCACAAAAACTAAAAATTAAAATTAAAAAAATTTAAAACCAACATGCTTGGGGGGGAAATGGCAATGAATATTACTTTTACTGTATTTCCATTTTCTTACTTCACCTGGGTCTTTGAAATGCTGTATTCATCTACTGTTTTGGCTTTATTCGTCAAAGGTTTTTTGTTTGTTTGTTTTGAGACAGGCTTGCTCTGTCAACCTGGCTAGAGTGCAGTGGCACAATCACAGCTCAGTGTAGCCTCAACCTCCCCAGTTCAAGTGATCTTTCTCTTTCCCCTTGCCCCCCAGCTCTACCTGTCCCTCCCCGACCACTGCGAGTATCTGGGACTGCGAGAATGTGCCACCATGCCCAGCTAAGTTTTAAATTTTTTGTAGAGACAAGGTTTCACTATGCTGCCCAGGTTAGTCTTGAACTCCTGGGCTCCTGCCTTGGCCTCCCAAAGTGCTGGCATTATAGGCATGATGCATCACACCTGGCTATCCTTCAAAGGCTTCTGTATTAGAGATCTTTATCCCCTTATGCTCATGTTAAGAACTGAGAAAAACAACGATTGCTGTAGACTTGCTCATCCATAACTTAAGGAAGCAAGTTATGGCACTTGGCTATAGCCCTTGGGAATTTAAATTCCACTGACCGGCGAAGGCCCTTTAAAAAAAAAAAGGAATATGGTTTCTGCCTGCTTTTCCAGCAAAACAATGGCTTGGTCTTTTGTGGCTTGATAAATCCCTAGAAAACGAAAATAATGAAGCTTATACAATTTGACAACCCCCATGTGGGAATTTCCCAGCTACACAGTCCCGCAGGATCATGGCTGGTGTGTCAAAGACACAGGCTAACCCGTGGCTTTATTCACACCAAATAAACAGTCCCCCAGAGTGAATCAAATTAGGTGACCATCACTGGCCATTTTTTAAATGTAAATTCTGAAAGGAATATGACAATTCAGTCAGCAAAAATGTGTTTGTGAAATAAAGCACAATGTCAATTCATCTCCCTCAGCAGTTACTAGGCAAGAAACTTAAATGAGTAACTTTTAAAAGCCAAATGAAATATTTTACATCTGTATCTTCAGTGATATCTTACTAGTCATTAAGGTTTACTTTAAGACAATTATCACTTCATGAAATGGGACATGCACAATGATTAACTACGGTGTAATGCTTATAAGAAAGTATTCATAACCATGCTTTTTGAAGAGGGCAGCTCTATTTTGGCCTGCTTAATTAAGGATAGATTCATAACCATGCTTTTTGAAGAGGGCAGCTCTATTTTGGCTTGCTTAATTAAGAAACTTTTAATTCTTAATAACCACGAGGTCGGGTGCAGTGGCTCACGCCTGTAATCCCAGCACTTTGGGAGGCCAAGGCTGGCCGGCTACTTGAGCTCAAGAGTTCAAGCCCAGCCTGGGCAATATGGTGAAACCCCTTCTCTACCAAAAAATAAAAAAAAACTTGTGGGCCATGGTGGTACGCACCTGTGGTTCCAGATACTTGGGAAGCTTAAGTGGGAGGACCGCTTGAGGCCAGGAGGTGGAGGCTGCAGTAAACCAAGATTGCACCACAGCACTCCCGTCAGGACCCATCTCAAAATAATAACAACAATAATAATAACCAGACAATTTCCTTCTGCATGAATTCAAACTCAAAGACTCCCAGGACAGGAAGATACCTCTCCATGGGTTCTTCCTTCTATGTGGCCTTTTTTTGCAGCATTGAAAATTTTTTTCTTGGGAGTATTTCAAGAAACAGAAGAAAGGCCTTATTTTGTCCCTAGGCTTCCTTTTTTCCCCATGTTCTAACTTTGCCAAAAATGGAAACACACTATTTGGCTCTCCTCAAAGTTTCAAGACTATTTCAATGCCTTTTCATTATCCTTTGCATATTCAGCCATTTTCTGTGGTTGGGAGCAGGAGGTTGTCACCTTCAGTATATTCACAAAAAAGCAGTACTCTAGGACTTTCTAGAGTACCTCAAGGGCCATGACTTGCACATATAGACACTTTAAAGTCACTTAGTAAAATGCATTCTGTAGAGGCAGATGAATTACAAACAGGTTCCTCTTCCCTGGCACTAGGGTTCATGGTCAGTGAAGGACAGCTGGGCTTTAACCCTTATCTGGAGGGACACTTTTTCACAGGGCACAGACTACCCTACAGGCTACTCTGGAGACATGCTCACTTTTAATGGCTCCTTTCTAAGCATGCCTGAGGCCACAGTTATCTGAAAAGAGACTGTGGGCATCATTTCTTCAGCACCAGAAATCTCTCCAGTTTCTGCCTCCCAGATTTCCTTCAAATGTTCACTCTCTTCTGTTCTCTCTAGTTCTCTCCATCCCACTGAAATCTCACTGAAATGAACTCAAGTTCTCCCTCTCTGACCACTAATTCTCAAACTTTTTTGACCAAGGTTAACCTAGGTCAGCAGAAGGCTCTTAAGACTTGGCTGGGTATGGTGGCTCACACCTGGCATCCCAGTGCTTTGGGAGACCGAGACAGGAGAATCATTTGAGGCCAGGAATTTAACATCAGCCTGGAAAACATAGCGAGACCCTGTCTCTAAAAATAAAAATTAAAGAAAAGCTCTAAGACTCATATACTCCAGCCCTTCCTGCTTTTTTCTCAAAAAATTCTCTGATAACAATAAACTGTTGCTGCACAAACACACTTTGTGAGGATTATGTGAATATCTGCTTTAGCAATATTGGTTTAGATGATTCCTATGTGCACTACAATCCACATTTGGTTTAAAGTTTTATCATAGAAAACTTATAGGTCATAAATTGTGTCAACTTATACAGGCATCACTATCCTACTGTAGGGTTAACCAAACAACCCACTTCAAACAACATAGAGGGTGATGAAGGTAAATGAAATGTAATTTATAATTAAAAAGCAGGAATAGAAACCACCAAAAAGCACAACCAACTCGATACAGCACTGATGCTAATATAAAGCAAACTTCCCCAAAATTGAGGATATTTCAACAATCTGCTCATGCATGTTTTTAGTGGGAGCTCTTCAAATATTGCCAAGTATTGCCTAGCAGCCAGGTGAATGCTCAGGTAAGCCCCCAGTAAACTCTAGTTACGTGCTAAATTTTTATTTATGAATATGAAATACTACCATTAACAACTCAGCAGTTATTAAGTAGCTTTTACACACACACACATACACACACATGAAAATCTAGGTTATCAAGGACCATTTGCTAGTAAGATCCAAAGAAAAGACATATTTGGGGATGCTTCTAGAACATTAGGAGGATGCTTGTGGCCTACCAGTTCATACCTTGAAAATCACTGGTTAGGTGGTTGGCTTGGCTTTTTGATTCGGCTTCTTGAGATGCACAGTCACCTTTTCTGATTCTCACATTGCTGCTACAGGGGCATGCTAACCTTGTGTCCTAGCAAGCAACCCAGTTCTGCCATGACTTGGACCTCCAAATCCCCAGTCTCTCGCTGGAGTCTCTCTTTGGGGAGGGAGAGTCAGATGTTACCCACAAACTGGGGAGCCTCCCAGTTAACACCCTGGAGTATCTGTGATGACATAATGGGAGGCCTTCAGTGATACATGGTGGAGGGAAGTCAGAAGACCTGGTCACAGACCACCTCTGCCTTGCCACCTGTTTGACAGCAGGCAAATCACCTCAATTGTCAGCTCACATTTATCCTCTGAAAAATGAAAATATAGTCATGCACTGATAGCAACATTTTGGTCAGTCATGGACTGCATAATACAGTGATCCCATAAGATTATAATACTGTATTTTCACTGTATCTCTTCTATGTTTAGATACACAAATATTTGCCATTGTATTACATTTGCCTACAGTATTCAGTATACAAACATGCTGCATAGGTGTGTAGCCATGGACTATACCACATAGCCAAGGTGGGTAGTAGGTTTGTGTGAGTACCCTCTATGATGTTTATAAAATGACAAATGGCCTAATGATGTATTTCTCAGGACTTATCCACAATGATAAGCAAAGCATGACTATAACAATACCAACCTCATAGATTTCTTGTGAAGATCAAATGAGATAATGTAAGTGATAAATAAATAAATCCATTTATAAAAGTATTATGTTATTGTCGCAGAGAGGAAATGTTCACACAAGCATCTTGACTGTTCTGTTTACAAAGTATGCCTGAAATTAGGGTTGCAATCGTTTATAATAATGACAAACAATCCGAACTGTCAACCATGAAGGTCAAATTCAAAGACCGCACAGGCCCTACAAACTACTGAGAAAGAGTTGAGAATTCCTGATTCCGCAAGTACATGTCTCAGTGATCCTGAATCCCTTTCTTTTTTTCCTTCTCATGGCTTGGAGAGCAGGACTTAATTCAGATTAATTCCAAACATTAGAAATGAAGGTTGGTTTTTTCTTTTTTCTTTTCCTTCATCCCACTTGAGTTTCAGAGCTCCAAGAGGACAGTGGCTGAAGAATGCTAGGAATTCTTCCTTCCACCCAGTCAGGAATGTGTCCTGCCTAGGGAACTTAGAAGGAATGTGAGGGCTGCCAGATAAGCCCCAGCACTTGAAGCAGTCAGAGCAGGGGACTGTGGACTTAGTACTGGAAAGAGCCCTCCTCTAGAATCAGGCCCTCCTCAACACCCCCAAGAGGCTGCTCTTAGGCTGAGAGTGGAGGCCAGAGCTGGTGATGCAGGAATAACCTCTGCAGCCAGTAAGTGAAGAGACAGCTCAGCTGGATGTTTGAAACAAAGAACGGCAGTGTTTTTAGTCTTTGGGGAAAGTACATGGTCATGGTACATGGCAGAGGATTTTTTTTATTGCAGAGGATTTTTTAGATCAACACATATATGGGCTTGAACATGGGCTCTGCCATCTGCCAATTAGCTGCATGACTAGGGTTGGATACTCTGTGCTAATAACAGTACCTACTTCCTATGGTTGTGGGCAAATTGAATAAAATAATGTACATAAAATACTTCTCGCAGTGCCTCTCCATAATGTTGGGCTATAAAGCCTACTTTTACATGACTAACTTTTAAAGAGTCTTGATACCCTGCATTTATTCAAAGTGTTATAGTATACAATGTGTTTTCATATTTGTTACCTTTTTTTAATTGCATTAAGCAATGGTATAAACTTGAACACTCTTGGGATGGTTTGTAGATATGTTACTCTTTTGGAACAAATAATTAGATGTCAGCTTTGGCAGTTATCACAGGGCCTCATCTTAGCTCTTACCCACACCTTGCCCCTGTCACGGTTTTTTCAGGGAGCTGCCAGTCACAGGCAGGCTGCTTTTCTCAAGCACACTGGCATTGAACCAGTGTAGCCACTCTCACCCAGACAATAGTGGGAGCTTGGAATAAGTTGTTCTTAGAGGTCAGAGAGAGGCTCAAAGACTTCAGGGGTTCTGTCAGGTAGGGTTGCCCTTAGGCAGCCTCTGGAACAGCCAGCCTGCCTATCTGATCCCCTCAAGCCTGGGTCTCAAAGTTTCACATGCGTTGGAGAAGATCTGCCCTGCACCATGCCCCTAACAGGGTTTTCCTTGCCTGCTGCTTTGCTTCTGCCAATCTTCCCGGAAAAAGGGTTGGGGAGGCAGGACTCTATCTATCTTAACACTTTCTTGTTCAGACAAGAACTCCTGGAACAGTGTTGTTCGTCAGTGTGACCATGACGCTTGGCATTCCTGGGGTCATGGCACTGCTTCACCTCCCTGGACCCTGATGGGACCTATTGAGTCTTTCTATAGACTTGATCTTGGATTTTCAGCTTCCTCCTAGTGGGGATGAGGATGCAGTTCTGACCTACTGCCTAAAGCCACTATGAGTTTCCTGGAAACTCTTTCTTCCCCACTCTAGGTCCCTCTGTAATATCAGCCACGGACTCTGGACACGGAGCCTCATGTCTAGCTGGGAGCAAACTTAATCCTACACTGACTGCCTTAATGCTTCTAGGGTGGTTCCTATATGCCATTTACCTCCCACTCTGTAAGTCTAAGAGAAATTTCATCCTTTATTGGTAGTAAGGACACATTGTTTTTCGGGGGGAAAACACATGAAACCATTGCTTTTATTGACCTTCTTGAATTTCTAACGGCATGACAAGCTGGGACCACAGCTCTCTTGAGTTGGCAGGGAGGCTAGTGAGTGAGGGCCAGGCCCAGTCATGTGTGTAGGGGCTCAGGATGGAGTTTGGAGGAACTTTCCTGTATGAGAATCTGGACCTGGGACAAGGGTCTAAAGCAGAGTCTAAAGGATGCAGCCAGTTGTCTTATGGTGTGGTCTTTGCTAGTGAAAGGCAGAAGATATTCCAAGGTATGATTAGATTGGGGATAAGGGATGAATGCAGGTTGCCTACATGTGGCCAGGCTCCAGACAGAAGGATTGTTTATGGGAGCAGGATCCAGGCTGAATAGGTGAAGAGAGACAGAACACTAGGGCTCCCATTACTAGCTAAAGTTGTGAGCAGGGTCAGGCATTCAACAACACATTTTAAAATACAGCATCAGGCAAATGTATACCTGATGCTGAGAGTAGCTTGAGCATCAGTCTACATTTCTTCCCATACACCCTCTCCTGATTATTTGTCTGCTTTGCCTGCCACTCATGACCATGATTTGTTTGCTGCCCCTCCTAAAATATTCAAACCCTGTACCTGCCTTCAGCTTTGCCTGACAACTACCCTCCACCCCACTCTACTTTTGCTTCTCATCTCTGGATATAACGTTTACTCTAGGATGTTTCATGTGCCCTAAACCCATCATTTCCCCCTCAAATCTACTGCTCCTCCAGTCTTCCCTGTTTTACTGACTGACACTGAAGCTAGAGAGCTGAGGGTTATCATAGTCTCATCGTACCTCTCTATCCACCATGTGCATTATCACTCTGGTGATTAGCCCATCTCTATTCCACGATGCTCTTGGGCTGTGGTAGACATCACCAGTGCCTACCTATATCCAATTCTTCGTTTCTTCCTGGGCACACAAGAGACTCTACTTCCTGACCCACTTCCAGTTAGGCAGAGCCATAAGACTAGTTTGGGCCAATGAAATGTGAATGGAAATTCATTTATTATTACTGGTCTAAGGCAGTGAAAAGCTCTTTCTTGATTCTCTTTATCTGAGACTTTTCTCTTCTACTGTTGTGTTGAATGCAGAGATGTTATGTTGAGGTGGTAGAATCACCGAATCAAAGAAGCCTGGATAGCAGTCATGGAGGGTGGCTGCCTTGGAGAGATGCTTAGACCTGCAGCAGATGCTGCATGATTAAGAAATAAACTTTTGTGTTAAGCCACTCAGATGGGATCATTTACTACCATAGCATAATCCAGTTCATCCTGACTAGTACAATCACGAAATCCTGTTGATTTTACTACCTCATATTATTTGAATCAACTTCTCCTCTACAGTATCTCTGCTGCTGTAGCTCAGGACCTCAACATCTCCCACCAGGACTAGTGGAAAAGTTTTAAAACAGTCTCCTCATCTCCAGTTTGACATTCCTCGAACTCATTCTCCAGACACACTAGAATGGTCCTTGTATAATTCAAATCTAATCATGTATCTTGGGTTACCCTGCTTTGTTGGCTTCCTGACAGTGGCATGATGAATAGTGCCACATGACAGGGCTTCTCCCCAGCCAGCCTCATCTCCCATCTCTCATCTCCTTCCATTTTATAACCAGTAATACTCACATGTTTGTGATTTCCAGAATAATCCATGTTGTTTCACGCTTCCATGCCTTTGTTCATGCTGTTCCATTTATCTGAGACGTCTTTATATACCCTTCACTCTCTTCTTTGCCTGGCCAACTCCTATTCTTCCAGACTATGTTCTAAAACCACCTTTACTGAGGTTTCCTGCTGGATTTAATACCGCTCCTTCATACTCTCACGGCATCATCTGCACATGAATGAACACATTATAGTGCATCTGATTATTGGTCTGTCTCCCCTGTGAGAGTACAAACTTGACTAGGTTGATACCGGTTAGACAGTGGGTGCTCAGTTGTAGGAAATGCTGAGGTAATGAGATTCAATGATGATGTGGACATTCAGGGATCATCTTTGGACACAGATCCCCAGTATGATGGACTGTGATGTACACCTGAAAGTTCTGGCCTGACAGCTTCATCACTGAGGTGGGCCTCTAGGTCTGACAAGAGTGGGGCTGGAGGTTCTGACTTCATGACAAGCTTAACGAACGGTAGGCCCAAGGAATTATTAACTTTCTGCCCTAGTCAAGATTAGCTCAAGAACTGAAGAAATATTACATTGAATGGGAACTGTGAAGAGACATTACTTTGAGAAACAGGTAAGGCAGAAGCAGAAGAAAGACGGTAGGACCTGATATAATTTTTTTTTTTTTTTTTGAGATGGAGTCTTGCTCTGTCACCCAGGCTGGAGTGCAGTGGCACAATCTTGGCTCACTGCAACCTCTGCCTCCCAGGTTCAAGTGATTCTCCTGCCTCAGCCACCTGAGTAGCTGGGAATACAGGTGCCTGCCACCATGCCTGGCTAATTTTTATATTTTCAGTAGAGACGGGGTTTCACCATGTGGGCCAGGCTGGTCTCGAACTCCTGACCTCAAGTGATCTGCCCACCTCAGCCTCCCAAAGTGCTAGGATTATAGGCATGAGCCACCACACCTGGCCATAACCTTACAATATCATCAACACGCTTTCTAGATTAGGCTTAGGGAGCAATCACACAGTTTGGCTTTCTTGAACTACTATAATAATAAATGCAGTAGATTCTTACTATTCATAATAGTTATGTTCTATAAAGTCACTGACAACACTGATTAGCAAATAGTGAGCCAACACCCCTAGGGAATATAGAGGAGTAGATTCCTGCAAGCCTCTTGTCACATTTTTGTTAACCAATCAATACATAATTATGTTTTATGTGTGTTTCTGTTTAAAGATGCCTTGTTTACTTTAATATATATTGTTGATTAACATTGAACTCATGGCCAACAACACTGTAACTCATGCCTGAACAAAGCTTATCTAACACATATTTTCTCTGTAAGGTGATTTTTGTGCTTAGGAACACTAGATAGCACTTTAGCACTACACTTGGGGTCCATCTTAAAAAGCAAAATCGGCTGGGCTCAGTGGCTTACGCCTGTAATCCCAGCACTTCGGGAGGCCGAGGTGGGTGGATCACTTGAGGTCAGGAGTTCGAAACCAGCCTGGCCAACATGGTGAAACCCCATCTCTACTGAAAATACAAAAATTAGCCAGGCGTGGTGGCACACACTTGTAATCTCAGCTACTCGGGAGGCTGAGGCAGGAGAATCACTTGAACCTGGGAGGCAGA
Organism: Homo sapiens; assembly: GCF_000001405.40. NCBI lineage: Eukaryota > Metazoa > Chordata > Mammalia > Primates > Hominidae > Homo > Homo sapiens. The sequence goes on along the minus strand of NC_000002.12, from coordinate 62,668,071 downwards.
GGTTGTAGTGAGCCAAGACTGTGCCACTGCACTCCAGTCTGGGAAACAGAGCAAGAGTCCATTTCAAAAAAAAAGAATCAAAACTATCAAGAAAAACACAAATGTGAAAAACATGGCATTAAATAGACTGCAAAAAGGACACTTGTTTACAGTATGAGAGCTGGAACAAGAATGCACAGCATCACCTTGTTTAACCTCAGCTGGGGATGTGTATGTCAGATGACTAAAATTTTTCACTGCTCTGTGCATGTCCATGAATGACAATGAAAGCACCATGAGTGTTCATTTTGGGGTTACAAATAACTTTTTTTTTTTTTCTGAGACAGAGTCTCGCTCTGTCATCCAGGCTGGAGTGCAGTGGCGCACGATCTCCGCTCACTGCAACCTTCGCCTCCCGGGTTCACACCATTCTCCTGCCTCAGCCTCCTGAGCAGCTAGGACTACAGGTGCCCACCACCATGCCCAGCTAATATTTTTTGTGTGTTTTTAGTAGAGATGGGGTTTCACCTTCTTAGCCTGGATGGTCTCGATCTCCTGACCTCGTGATCCACCCCCTACTCGGCCTCCCACAGTGCTGGGATTACAGGCGTGAGCCACCACGCCTGGCCCACAAATAACTTTTAGTGTGTAGGCAAATCCCTAAATATGAAATCCATGAATAATAGGAATCTATTGTAGCTTCAACACCTACCACGTGGCTTTGAGCTAGGTGCTTTACAAATACATATCTTGCCAAGTTTACCAACTTTTCATTCTTCAATGAGTGAGATGACATAGAGTTAATATGGTGAGCATATCCTTAAATGCATAGGCTATCACCATTGAAAAAAATAGGACTTTCTAGTAAGATTAGTGTCACACAATATTTATTTATTTATTTATTGAGATGGAGTCTGGCTCTGTCGCCCAGGCTGGAGTGCAATGGCACAATCTCAGCTCACTGCAACCTCCGCCTCCTGGGTTCAAGCGATTCTTGTGCCTCAGCCTCCTGAATAGTTAGATTACAGGTGCCTGCAGCCATGTCCATCTAATTTTTGTATTTTTAGTAGAGACAGGGTTTTGCCATGTTGGCCAGTCTCGTCTTGATCTCCTGACCTCAGGTGATTTGCCCGCCTTGGCCTCCCAAAGTACTAGTGCTGGGATTACAGGGGTGAGCCACTGCACCCGGCCTCATACAATATTTATATTAAGCTTATGCATGCATTAGTGGGGTTGAAACTTGTAATAGGCTAGGCTTCTGCTCCTTTGGGAAAGTTCTGAGCTCTTGTAGAAAACTAAGAACACATTGCACACTCAGCAACAGAGCTATTGACTGATTATGCTTAAAGACCCTCAGATTGTGTACTAAGGTCTGAAGAGAATCTTCCTTATAGGAAAACATGCTTGGCAGTTAAGAGCACAATCACCCAGCTTCTGAATATTCCCAGGCAGCATCACTGGAGCCCAAAACAGTCAAGTAAACAAATTCAAAGAGACAAATATGTCTTTAAGGACACTGACTCGTTGAATGGGAAGCCAAATTGTCAGCAAGTTTTAGACAAATAGACTAAATGTTTTTGTCCCCTCAAAATTCATATGTTAAATCCTAATGCCCAGTGTGATGGCATTTAGAGATAAGGCCTTTGGGAGGTTATTAGGTCATGACACTGGAGCTGTCATAAATGAGATTAGCGCTCTTATAACAGAGGCTCCAGAGAGCACCCTCACCACCTTCTGCTATGTAAGAACACAACAAAGCTGTCTATGAACCAGACACTGAATCTGGTGGTGCCTTGATCTTGGGCTTCCTAGCCTCCAGAGCTGTGAAAAATACAATTTCATTGTTTATAAGCCACCCAATCAATAGTATTCTCTTATAGCAGCCTGAACGGACTAAGACACCAACCAAATACCTGCAAAATGAGGATCTTGTCCAATTATCTATGTGCACACAGTCTTCCTATCTGCAGCTTGCTTTCCATTCAGGTCAGTCTGGACTCTGTTCCAAATTATGTGGTGCGCATTCCTTCTCCTCATCTTTATTCTTGCCAGAATGCCATCCTCTTCTTCAGCCAAATTATCTTTGACTAGCAAGACTCAATTCAGTCCCACATCTTCCATTAACCTCTCCTGGATCTCCTCCGCCACCCATAACTTCCTTGGATCATCCAAAATCTGGCTCACTTGTCACTTCATCTGTAAAAGGGAAGTAATAACACATGCCTCTCAGGACTTTTGTGGGACAGCGTGTGAATGTGCATACCTCAGGGCCTGGCACAAAGTGGATGCTCAATGTTAGTGATATGGATTTAGAATTATGTTTTTCATTTTGGTTCATAGGCATTAACCTTTTATTTCCCCTTCATAGGCAAATGTTATGAAGAAAACGTACATTGTGAAAGACAAGGCAATAGCAAGAAAAAGCATGCATGGGGCAGTGATTTCCAAATTTTGAATTTTATAGGCCAGTGCAAGAATTTTGGAAACTGACATCAGGTTGCTTAATACTTCCTTTTTGCCCAAAATCTTCCTAGTAACTCTTTAGACTTATATCATTTTGTTAACAAAAATAAATAAATTGTAAAAGCAAAAAGGTAGGAAGGACACAGTATCAGAAGTTTATATTCTGAAAATGAATACATTCAGTATCAGGAAAAACTCACCTTACTCTTCCACTTATCTGTTTTTTCATTCATTAGCCAAATATTTATTAAGTGATAGGCACCAGAAATTTTTCTAGGTGGTAAACATGACAGGGAAGGTCCCTGTATTCAGGGAGCTTGCTTTCTTTCTTTCTTTCTTTCTTTCTTTCTTTCTTTCTTTCTTTCTTTCTTTCTTTCTTTCTCTCTCTCTCTCTCTCTCTCTCTCTCTCTCTCTCTCTCTCTCTCTCTCTCTCTCTTTCTTTCTTTCTTTCTTTCTTTTGTATCAGAAAACAGGTCATGGAAACCTCATAACCAACCAGTGTCAACCCAGTCACTGGCCCATGCACAGGCATCTGGAAGCTATGGCATGACTACTTAGACACTGATAAGAAGGTCCAGTCCCTGCTTCTAAGCTCTGAAGGAGGAAGCAGGAAGCTGTCACAACATGCAGAGACTGTGAGTGTAGAGGCAGATGAGCAAAAGCAGCAACCCTGCCCAAGCATCTTCTCCCTCGGGCCAGTGAGCGTGTGCTGGGCTGAGGACAAGCCCTCAGGCCATTACTCTTTGTGAGTACAACCCCTATCTATATAAATAGAAAATTATCATTTTTCTAGAAGTTATCATTTTTCACCATGAAGGACAACAACATATAATTTAGTCCAAAGAATCCCAAAATACAGGGCACAAGTGATGTGAAACAGTTGTCAAAGTGTGGAGATAAGTCTTAAGAAAAGACAGAGGGGAATGAGATAGTCTCAGCCTGACTATATTGGGAGTTCCTCAGTTTGTTTCTCACCAGGATTCCAAAGAAAATAGCTGGATGTTGTGAAATATGAGCTTTCAAAAGTGCTATAGAAAACTTTTAGCACTGTTCAAAGCTGGGAGCACTCAGCCAATAAAAATAAGATACTTGCTCTTATTCTGAAATCCCAAATTAAACAAACTAAGGTCAGAGTAACAACTGTGTTTCACTCTAGCATGCCTCAGTGAGAAACTGGAGGAGACAGCCCTGGGACTGAAAAGCCCCCTGTACCACCTTGAACTGTTAGATTCAATAAGATGACATTGTATTTATATTGTGCTTTCTTTCTAAAAGTCACAATCAAGGGAATGTAGCACCTAACATAAACCATCAGAACTTGTCACAATACCTTCCATATGTAATATACTGAGAGTCTCACATGACAGTCTCCAGTATCCTAGCCTAAGATTTGTAAAATGGAACAAAAACACATTCTCTATTCCAGAGAAACTCTTCAGAGCTCAAATATGTGTTTAGGAGAGAGAGAGAGAGAGAGAGAGAGAGAAGAGAGAAAGAGAGAAAGAGAGACAGAGAGAGAGAGAGAGAGAGAGAGAAGAGAGAAGAGAGAGAGATGTAAAAACCCAATGACATTTTCCAGGGCCTCAGTTTCTAGAACTTTTTCTTGCAGCATTGCACTGCAGAGGAAGAAGGAGGCAAAGTTTGTGAGTGTCAGCTTCCTGAACACTTTGACAATAAGAGCAAAAAGAAAATGATCAAGAAACTATAAGCAGAAGGTTCCTCCTCATCACAGCATTTCAGGAATAAAAAGAAAAAGATTTACTAAAATTAGCCACAGTGTTAAACCCTAAAGCAGAAAGCTTTAAATAAGGCAAATGGTCTAAATGCAGAGCTTCAGGCAACTTTATCAACTTCATGTTATACATCATAGCTAGCAAATTAATTATTCCCAGATGTTGGGATGAAGAATGCTGCTGAATTGTTTTGCTTCTCCAACTTTTCAGTATAAACACACACTCACAGGGTTACATTCCCTTTTTTGGCTCCCAACATGCAAGTAATTATACACTGTGCAGGATAATGTTGGATGAGCTCTCAAATGAATACCAAGCAAGTTCTGGGTTCTGTCAGCCTTTTGGATACCATGTCCACAAGCATTTTTTTCTGACAGTCTTTAGTAACAACTTGTAAACAAACTGTTTCTAGTTAAAAAAAATATTCAACAGCAGTACAACCTCATTTATAAATTATTCCAAACTCCTTTAGAGCTGGAGAGGGATAAATTCACCTTAAATATAGTGCAGCTCCTTTTTGCATCAAGAACAGTTTTTCTACAATCCTTGTGAGCAGGGCTCATAATTCATAATAGTTTTTATATTTTTACATTCCTTATGTTTTGCCAACATGTAAACAAAGAGAAGAAAAAAGCAGGTTATGAATCAAGTGTGAATTGAGAATGTGTTTAGGATTAAACACAGATTCTATGACCATGGCCAGAATGAAGAGAGTAAAGGGTCATATTTTCTAATCCAGCTCCAAAGTTTCATAGGACAAATTTCTGCTGTCAGGTGAGTCATGGAGGGATTTTTTAGGGGGCTACCTGAGGCCTTCACACTTCTTGGAATAAACAAACCTGATGAATTTGTCCTGGGTCGTCATATAATGAGGCACAGGTGTGTGTGTAAAATATAGAAGTGGGGGAGATAAAGACAACACAGGGAAAAACTTAGAAATGGTTAAAGAAAAAAAACACATTTTTTGCAGAAGGGAGAAGTTCTGTAGTTCTGCCAACTGCAACACAAATGACAGGAAAAGTTCAAGGAAAGTTGATATCTAAAAAGAAATAAATAAAAGGAAATTCAATGAGAAACAATATTCAGGTCAGGTCAAAGCCTAGAGAAAAATGCGCATTCAGAAGTGGGCTGCCATCCTGCTTTTTCTGAAGTGAACAGCTGCTGGGTATTGAAACCAGCCCTCACGGTTGGGTCCCTGCCACCATGGCAACACTCTGGTTTCTGAGCTGGAGTGGCCAAGGCACAATGGGGTGGTTCCATGGCCCAGAAGCACTCTAGCTACAGATTAGGTAGGTTGTGTGTGTGTTTTTTCCTTTGTGTATATTTGGGGGACTTTGATTCCTGGGTTTGTGTTCGGCTATTGGAAACTTTTCTAACCTATCATAAGCCCTGACCTAAGCAGCAAATTTTCATGCAAATAGCAGCATGGAAAGGAAGAACTGAGGTGTTCAACAGGCAAATAATGTATTTCCAGTCTCTTTTAAATGATTTCTTACAAATCTCTAGCAGGTTCTGGGCATTTGTAACTGGTCCCTTGCATTGTACCTTTAGGATGTTTTTTAAAATAGTGCTTAGCTTGCTTTTTATATTTTTAGTTTATAATAACACATGATCCTAAAAGGAAAAGCTATCATAATCTTGTAAACTGAAAAAGTTAGCGAATAAAGACTTTGATATTAAAAATATAGCCTATAGCTTATATATTATATATGCAGAGCTCCAATAATTAGCACATTCAACTGTTGAATTCACCATCACGGTTTCATTAGTATTGCAAGCTAAAAATTTTATCTACTAGTTAAGTATAAAGAAAATTCCAAAATAATAACCTCATAATGTAGCATAGTAAGTGATAGCATAGACTTTAGAGCCAAACTGCTTGAGTTCCAATCCTGGCATTTATTAGCTGTGTAATTTTGGGCAAGTTACTTAAACTGTCTATGACTTTATTTCCCCTCTATAGAATGATGACAAGAGTAATACCTTCCTAGTGAAGATGACTGTGAGTATTAAGTGAATTTATATTTGTAAAGTGCTTAAAATAGTGTTTGGTTAGTATCATGTAAGTGCTTAAAAATAAATAAGTAAATACATAAATAATTTAAAATTATTTTTTAAATAATTTAAACCTTTTTTGATAGTGGGAAATGCCACCTTTGGAATTCAGGACAGCACAGTATATTTCTATATCTATATTCCCACTCAGAAAATGTTAAACTTCTTATTTACATCTAAGACTTGTAACTCACTTGGAGTCATGCAAGGCTCCTTGAATTGATAAAGCAGCTTGTTTGTGAATTTAGCCAATTTGTAAGTGAGCAAGGGGGAGGGCTTTGAGAAATATATACTAGATCTTCTGATTCATTTAGATCCTTCAAATGCTTAAGTGTTCATTACAAGCACAAGGCACAGTGCTTGCTAAACTGAGCAAGCACAAGATGCCACCCCATGCTGAGATACCCATCGCTGTACTCTCCTAGCAGTAGCCAAGCAGTCTCAGCCTCCGAGGGATGGAAAGCCCAGCACTTTTTCACCTCCGTAACAGGTTGGGTTGTATCATTTCTAGCATGGCTTGTTCAAGGGCTTTCCATTTCATCCTAGATTTCCACTGGTACTGAAGAGCCCACTCATGTGCTCAGATGCACAATTTTCATGGTATCCATTCATATTAGGCCATGCCATTTCTTACAAAGTGTGGAAATGCATTATCTTCTGTTGTGGGGCTGCCTGAAACTGGCTCTGCTACACAATCCTGTTCTTCTGTTTACACGTCACTAGTTGAGTATGTGAAGACATTTTGTGGTTAGGTGTCAATGGTTGCAAAATGCTTTCACAAATCTTGTTAGGATATTTGGGTGCATTCCAAACAAATATGCTATTCCACTACCCAGAGGATCTATAACTTTTTGGAATCCAGTCTAGCTGGAGCTAAGAGGTTAACATTTTAGCCATTGTTTTCAAATTGAGTCACATATGTTCAGTTCTAAGAACAAGGATTAGAAGTCATTCTGGGACCTCAAAGAAAATCAACATCTATCTCAGTTTGCAAAATGGCAAAATTCTATTTGTATGTAATGAGGGTGTTTCCCCCTTTACAATTATTCAAAATGGGGTCACGTAAGCAAGGAAAAGTGAGTACATCTAAGCATAGGGCTGAGTGCTGAAAGGACAAAGACTGAAATTAGTAGGTCACCTCAGAGTTTAACATATATCCTGTTTTCTAAGAAAACAAATGTACTATCAGATCCAGTAAAACTTTCTGTGGAAAATATTTTGGAAGCCAGAAGCAAAATTAGAGAAAGGCAGTATTCCATAGTTAAAGGAAACAGAAGCTGCCACCTAGAAGAAACTCAGACCCACTGAAGCTATAATGGTTTGAGAAGACACAGAATTGAGCAAATTGACTTTACTGTTCCAGGAGGTTTAAATAGAAATCTTTAAAAAGCTGTCTCCTTTTTCTACATTTTACTCCAAGGATTGAAAAGGCCTTAAACAAGAATGTTGGCTCTAGTATTTAGCTATACTTAAAGCAGACGGGAAATTAGGAAGTGTACCTGGGCTTCAGTTTCACTTTGGACACTTGTCAATGTCTGAAAGGTTACTTTCCCTTTTTGAGATATTAATAACCATGGTGGTGGCAGCAGCAGCTATTAGCAGTAATAGCAGTAGAATTAGTGATAGAAGCAGAAGCAGCAGTGGTAGCAGCAATGATACAAAGAGCCGTGGTAGTAGCAGCAGTAGTACTAGTAGCAATAGCAGTAGTAGCAGTAGAAGTAGTAATAGCAGCAGGAGCAGCAGCAGCAGCAGCAATAGTAGCAAAGCAGCGATAGTTGTAGCCATAGTAGCAGCAATAGCAGCAGTTTCCATTTATTGAGCAGTCTATCCTCAGACACTTGAATAGGAACTATATAAAGACTGTTTCATTTAAACCCATGATGACCTTTCAGAGTAGGTATTAATACCCACATTTAACTACCGAGGAAGCAGGACCAGAGAGGTTGTGTAATTTGTTCACTTAGTTGGAAAGTGGAAAATCTGGATTTTGAATCTGGATTGATTGGATTACAGAGCCTTGCACTGCTTTTGGGAAACAGATGTGGTATCAAGCAGGGTTTCTCAGACATGAATGTACTTATAGGAATCATGTAGAGACCTTATAAAAATGGAGATTCTGATGCAATTGGTCTGGTGGGATGCCCAAGACCCTGCATTTCTCACAAGCTCCTAGGTGGTGCTACCGGTCCAAGCACACTTTGACCAGCAAAGGGATAGTGGAAAGAAAGTATGCTTTCCAGTCACAATCTGTGACCTCAGTTTACTCATCTATAGAAGAAAGGGGTGTAATAAGATAATTTTAAAGGTACATTCCAGGCCTAAAATCCCAGTATGCAGGGTGTAATAAGGTATTAAGAAACCAGATCACACAGGAATGACTGTTAGCCGCATGAATTTTTAAACTGGTTTCAGTTGAGATGCTGGCTGTGATTTATGTATCTTCCTGAAGCATCACTGACAGGTGGGGATCAGCCACCCTCACTCAAATTACATTATTGTTAAGCTTTAGGCTGAACTAAAATCTTACTGAAAGAGTTCAAAGCACTTCTTTCCATAAGCATCTTTAAAGATTATGAATGTAAAAATAGTTTCTTATGAGAAGCTTAGATGGCAGGATTTTTCTTTTTAATAACAGAGATGAGAAGTCTCCAAAACCATAATGGTAGCACAATCCATAAAAATATGTTAATGCCTCATTTTAAAGTCTCACAGAAATTGAGGTTTTCTGAGTTAACAAAATAGACTTCATCACAGATGGTCTGAATGATAAAAGGAACCAGTACACTAGTGTAGCAAGACTAAAAACACCGCTCTTAGCTGAGCACGCTGAAAGCCTTTAAGGAAATCTTTCTACAAATAGCATTGTTAAGTGTTGAAGTAAAAATGGTGTTGATTGGCAAGGGCACTTCAAATGCTTTAGGCAAAGCTCAGGGCCATAGGTGTACAATTTTACAAGAAATTATTTCCAATTAAAATAATATTAAGACACATTTTCTCATCATCTTATGCCTAACACAAGACATTGACACCAAAGAAAGTAGTTTTTGCTCTCTTCCAAGAGCTACAGTCCAGATCACTAAGAGAGATGCCATGAGTTTCTTTTTTTTTTTTTTTTTTTTTTTTTTTTTAACTCAAACAAGGGCAGGGGTTGGAGTAGAGCATAGTCGAGAGTCTATGAGTCTCTGAAAAAGGATTTCCTAATGGTGAGGAGTGTTAGAAACCGGAATTGGAATCCTTTGATAGGGCTTTAGAAATCACATAAAAATACACATCCACTCAGAATGGCCTAAATATATTTGTCTGAAGCAATCTAGTCAGGAAATATTTGCTGTCACAATATGCTTTTTATGGTCTGCAAGGGTGGCCCATATTTATTTAGCCAACTCTCAATTATCTATGGAGTGATAGTCAAACTTTTTGAGACATGGAGCTACTTTTTTATAAATAATTTCTTATGAAGAACCCCAAAATGTGAAATAGATTAAAAACAGAGCTACTCCATTTAAACTTTGGGAAGAAGATTCCCCTTAGACTCCACTGTAGACAACATTGGTTGCGTTCCAGCCATTAACTGCTGCTTAACACACCACCCCAGAACTTAGCGGCTAAAAGCAACACTTTATTATCTCTCTTGGTCCTGTTGGTTGACTAGGCCTAGCCAGGAAGTTCCTGCTTGGGGTCTTTCATGCAGTAACAGTCATGATGCCATCTGAAGGCTTTGTTGGGCTGGATGTCCAAGATGGCCTCTTCATTCCCTTGTCCAGCACTTCAGGTATCCTTGGATTCTTTCTGTCTCCATGTGGCATCTCATCCTCCAGGGCCTTTTAGTGTGGTTTGTGATTCTCACAGCATGGTGATCTCTGGGTAGTCACATTTCTTACACAGCAGCTGTCTTCTAAGAGACAGGAATTGAAACTGCCAGGCCAATTCATGGCTATGCACAGAACCTGTACACCACAACTTCCATTGTATTCTGTTGTCAAAGAAAGCATGGGGCCTTCCAGGTTCAAGGGGGTGGAGAAATAGCCACCTCTTGATGGAAGGTAGCAGTGCCACATTACAGAAGAACATGTGGGATGGGAGATATTGTTGCAGCCATGCTTGGAAAATGCCATCTGCCACAGTTGAAAAGCACTATGGTAATAAGGATCTGAAATAGTGTGGAGAATCAAAATTTACAAACAATCATAGGGTCTTCTTAAAAATCCCGTCCTTATTAGAGATTTTAATTATAATCATGTACAAAATTAAAAGTAGTGTTTGGTTTTATTTATTTTCTCTATTAGCAGAGATATTAATGTTATATCCTATTGGGCAAAATGTTATGAGCTGCTATTTATTGGGGGAAGGGAGGCAATGTGAAAAAGGGAAATAGGGACATCAACGGTGTTGAAAGACAGTCAGTCCTCCTACTCCCTATTTTCTATATCAGAGAACACAACTGGTACAGACACAATGTGACCCCAGAACATTCAGGTTAGAGAGACAGATAGAAAGAAAGCTGCTGCAACATGTAACCATTCCTGCCAATCAATAAAGCAGGCAGCTGGCATTTTGCAGAGCATTTTGAAAGAAAGCAAAGCCTTCTGTAGAAAGCAACCAGCAAAAACTTAAAGACTGCACTTTGAAGAACCCATAAACAAAACCTATAAACCTGCCATTGGAACTAAAGTCCTGGGCTGGGCACAGTGGCTCATCCCTGTAATCCCCACACTTTGGGAGGCTGAGGCAGGAGGATCCCTTCAGGCCAAGAGTTCGAGACCAGCCTGGGCAATACAGCAAGACCCTGTCTCTTTTTATAAAAGAGAAAAAATAAAAAGAAGTGAAGGCCTCAAAAAGAGAAGTGGAATACTAGCACAGAGAGCTGGGACAAGAGGATTTCTAAAACCTACAAGAACAAGAACAGTTCTTAGGCCATACTAATTAGGGGCTTTCTCTAGTTCCTTAGTAAGGAAAGGACAAAGACTGCGGAATACACAATAAATAATATATTAAATACAAAACACCCTTTACTACATTTAACTGTATATGAGAAAATATGTAAGTATTAAACTCTCATTTCGGAAAGAAGACTTAGTTGTTCTCAACAAATCCATTGGTTGTCTTCATAAATTCCAAAATTAAAAGACTCTAAAATTTCATAGGTACCTGAGCTGAATGCACACTCACTATTATGGTCAAGATTCTTGTGCCCAGAATGGACAAAATCCTTCAGAATTCTTCCTTCCCAAGTTTTATTTATGTCTGGATGTGCCACATGTTACATTACCATATCCATGAGGATGATGGAAAAAGAGTCCAGAATAGTCTGAGACTTAGTTTTGGCTCTATGAATTACCCTCTGTAGCTCCAGCTGGAAGAACTAGTTTGAACACATCTGGAGGCCAAGTATGGATTAGAGAAGCAGGTTTAATATTTTTTCTTACCAAGGGAAATTAGCTACTGGAAATTGCTCAAATTATTACTGTCACAATCTTCTGCTACCAGGGTAAGATTTTCAGAGAATTGTTCTCAAGGAGATGAAGTCTGATCAGTCTTGATGAGATTACTTTGTACGGATGGCCTTATTCTAAGATTTTAAAAACAACTGTGGGCATGAAATATCATGGATGATTGTAGATTTGTGTGTATGGGGAACAGGAAGGTTGGTGGGGAGGGAATCAGTTGTCAGAGTGAAGAAGAAGAAGGAAGGAAGGAAGAAGGAAGAAGGAAGAAGGGAAAAATAATCTCTATGAGTCCTTTTTTTTTTTAAGTTTCTTGTTTGTAGAAGTTTTATACATAAAACTTATTTTTTGGATCTGATACTGCTCTTCTACGACCACAGTTTATTGCTACATGGTTCTTTGTGATCAGTCAGTCTTCTGCTCCCTCTCCAGTCTCATTTTTCTCATGAAACTCCACATCACCAAGCCACGCTGAAGGTATATGGAATGACATTCATGTTTTTGAATATGCCATACTCTTTCACAACTCTGTGTCTTTGCGCCTTGAATACCTTTTCTTTCTTTGGCCATCAAGCAAACATCAACTCTACTAATAAGATTACTTAAAAGTAATCTACTTTTAAGAGTTGACTCAAATATTACCTCCACTATGAAGCCTTTCTTTACCTTGAAACTTATCCCTACCCCTTACCAGGGACAATTGACCAATCCCTCCTTTGTAATTCCTTTTATTTTTAGCATATTTCTATAGTGATACTGCCACATTTAATTGCTTTTTTTTTTTTTTTAAGAGATGAGATCTTGTTCTGTCACCCAGGCTAGAGTGCTGGAGTCCAGTGGTACAATCATAGCTCCACCACCACACCTAGCTAATTTTTAAAAATTTTCTAGAGATGAGGTTTCAATACGTTGCCCACGCTTGTCTCAAACTCCTGGTCTCAACTGACTCTCCCACAGCAGCCTCCGGGAGTGTTGGGATTATAGGCGTGAGCCACTGCACTCACCTACCTGGCACTTCTTTTTATTTAAGTGTCTGCTTCCCCCTACCAAGTAGCAAGCATCCTCAGAGCAGCTCCATGGATTCTTTTAAAGATCTGGGACTTCAGCTTTTCATTCAATTTTGTAATAGTTCTCAGCTTCTTCCAATAAATTCCACTTTTGTGCTCAAGTTAGCTGAAGTCACTTTCTATTATACATAACCACAGAACCCTAACTGTTACAGTAATTTCCTGAAACTGAACCAATTGTTTGAATGGAAGGGACTCAGGAAGCTCAGAGCACAAAAAAAGGAGACCCTAAGAGTAAGAAATTGGCAAAGTTTGTCCAGCACTTTTCAGAGGAGAGTGTGCTCAGCTTCTGGGAACTCACTCAGTCTGGTAACTGAAGAAGTCTCTTGTGGGTCAAGGATAATTCTACATACCTCATCATGGCCTGGACGATATTCTTAAGATCATTCTCCACTTTTTTCTCTGACTCCGTGTTTCCCACCCAAACTTACAATCATAAATTCAATTCTCCGGGTATTATGAGATCAGGAAAGAAGCAGCTTTAGTAATTGGAAAGAAGTATCCTCCATTTTAAGTGAATAACATCTGTAAGTGAATAACATTATACAGCAACTTCTTGAAAGTTTCGACAGCAGCTCAAGTCAGTTGTCTCAGTCTGAAAAGAGTCAGAGCCCTAGCAATGGTGAGTTTCTCAGTCTGCAAGACTGGCCTGAGGTGACCTCACCAAGGTGGTGCCACCCTTTGGGGTTTACCAGGAATGCCACAGTTTGTCCAGATTATACTATTCTTCCATGCCATGCCTCATTTCACCACAATACTCATAAAACCTTAGCGGTGAATAAGTCTTCAAGGTCCACATTCCTTGCTATATGAGGGTTAGACAGTAAGTTAAACTGAATTCCAATCATTGCCTAAAATTAGGAAGTTGAGCGAGCAAGGTTTAGTTTTACCTTCATATGATAAAAGGTTTTAAGAAAATTGATGATGTAAGGCAGTTCTCTCCTTCTCTGTTTTTTTTTTTTCTGTGACAATACAAGAACAGTGTTGGCATGAGCAACACAGACCCATGTGCATTTCCTGACTCCATCTCTGTAACCCACCCCTGCCTTTTCTCTTAAGAAGCACATGGAAATGCAAACGTGTGACTGTGATATTATTGTGATAACCTTAAATGTTCTCGGATTTATTGTTAAAAGTGAATCACTTGCGAACTTTGATACTTCTACTATGATTGGTATGAAGTTGCTTGCAACATATCGGTGTGTCCTGTTGAGACCTGCAGATGTAAATATTGAAGGAAGAATGTTTGAGCTAATTATTACCTAAGTTGTTTATAAGAATTTTCTGGTGTTTGTGGAATTAACCTACCAATTTCACTCTTTCTTGTCAGTTTCAGTAGGAGGAACAGAAACCCAATCTGCTATTACTGAGAACTTGAATTGGAGTCCATACTGGAAACCAATAAATCACTTCCATTATCAAGAACTTGTTCATTTGTCTTGGTCCCTCCTCGTAGATTTGGGCTGACCTTTCTAATCAAGTTAAATAAACAATGTTTTGCTGAATACTAAAAGACTGGAGAAAGCCCAAGTCAATTGACAGTGATGCCCTTTTCATTCTAAGATTATTGATTTAGATTCCTCAACTCCACAGAACTCCATCCCTGGCTGCAGGTTGAATACTATGGATGCCAGGGAATGCCTTACTTAGGCCACCTGGGGACTTATTTAGTACTTGACTTATAATTTTTAAATTATTATCATTATACTTTAAGTTTTAGGATGCATGTGCACAATGTGCAGGTTTGTTACATATGTATACATGTGCCATGTTGGTGTGCTGCACCCATTAACTCATCATTTAGCATTAGGTAAACCTCCTAATGCTATCCCTCCCCGCTCCCCCCACCCCACAACAGTCCCCAGTGTGTAATGTTCCCCTTCCTGTGTCCATGTGTTCTCATTGTTCAATTACCACCCATGAGTGAGAACATGCGGTGTTTGGTTTTTTGTCCTTGCGATAGTTTGCTGACAATGATGGTTTCCAGCTTCATCCATGTCCCTTCAAAGGACATGAACTCATCCTTTTTTATGGCCACATAGTATCCCATGGTATTTATGTGCCACATTTTCTTAATCCAGTCTATCATTGTTGGACATTTGGCTTGGTTCCAAGTCTTTGCTATTGTGAATAGTGCCACAATAAACATACGTGTGCATGTGTCTTTATAGTAGCATGATTTATAATCCTTTGGGTATATACCCAGTAATGGGATGGCTGGGTCAAATGGTATTTCTAGTTCTAGATCCCTGAGGAATGGCCACACTGACTTCCACAATGGTTGAACTAGTTTACAGTCCCACCAATGGTGTAAAAGTGTTCCTATTTCTCCACATCCTCTCCAGCACCTGTTGTTTCCTGACTTTTTAATGATCGCCATTCTAACTGGTGTGAGATGGTAGCTCATTGTGGTTTTGATTTGCATTTCTCTGATGGCCAGTGATGGTGAGCATTTTTTCATGTGTTTTTTGGCTGCATAAATGTCTTCTTTTGAGAAGTGTCTGTTCATATCCTTCACTCACTTTTTGATGGGGTTGTTTGTTTTTTTCTTGTAAATTTGTTTGAGTTGATTGTAGATTCTGGATATTAGCCCTTTGTCAGATGAGTAGGTTGCAAAAATTTTCTCCCATTCTGTAGGTTGCCTATTCACTCTCATGGTGGTTTCTTTTGCTGTGCAGAAGCTCTTTAATTTAATTAGATCCCATTTGTCAATTTTGGCTTTTGTTGCCATTGCTTTCAGTGTTTTAGACATGAAGGCCTTGTCCATACCTATGTCCTGAATGGTATTGCCTAGGTTTTCTTCTAGGGTTTTTATGGTTTTAGGTCAAACGTTTAAGTCTTTAATCCATCTTGAATTAATTTTTGTATAAGGTGTAAGGAAGGGATCCAGTTTCAGCTTTCTACATATGGCTAGCCAGTTTTCCAAGCACCATTTATTAAATAGGGAATTGTTTCCCCATTGCTTGTTTTTCTCAGGTTTGTCAAAGATCAGATAGTTGTAGATATGCAGCATTATTTCTGAGGGCTCTGTTCTGTTCCATTGATCTATATCTCTGTTTTGGTACCATTACCATGCTGTTTTGGTTAATGTAGCCTTATAGTATAGTTTGAAGTCAGGTAGCGTGACGCCTCCAGCTTTGTTCTTTTGGCTTAGGATTGACTTGGTGATGCAGGCTCTTTTCTGGTTCCATATGAACTTTAAAGTAGTTTTTTCCAATTCTGTGAGGAAAGTCATTGGTAGCTTGATGGGGATGGCATTGAATCAATAAATTACCTTGGGCTGTATGGCCATTTTCACGATATTGATTCTTCCTATTCATGAGCATGGAATGTTCTTCCATTTGTTTGTATCCTCTTTTATTTCCTTGAGCAGTGGTTTCTAGTTCTCCTTGAAGAGGTCCTTCATATCCCTTGTAAGTTGGATTCCTAGGTATTTTATTCTCTTTGAAGCAATTGTGAATGGGAGTTCACTCATGATTTGGCTCTCTGTTTGTCTGTTATTGGTGTACAGAAATTATAACAAACTGTCTCTCAGACCACAGTGCAATCAAACTAGAACTCAGGATTAAGAAACTCACTCAAGAAAATATTCCTGGGGTGGGTTGGAGCCAAGATGGCTGAATAGGAACAGCTCCGGTCTACAGCTCCCAGCATGAGCCATGCAGAGGACGGGTGATTTCTGCATTTCCATCTGAGATACCGGGTTCATCTCGCTAGGGAGTGCCAGACAGTGGGCACAGGTCAGCGGGTGCGTGAGCCGAAGCAGGACGAGGCATTGCCTCACTCGGGAAGTGCAAGGGGTCAGGGAGTTCCCTTTCCTAGTCAAAGAAAGGGGTGACAGACGGCACCTGGAAAATCGGGTCACTCCCACCCGAATACTGCACTTTTCCGACTGGCTTAAAAAACGGAGCACCAGGAGATTATATCCTGCACCTGGCTCGGAGGGTTCTATGCCCACGGAGTCTCGCTGATTGCTAGCACAGCAGTCTGAGATCAAACTGCAAGGTGGCAGCGAGGCTGGGGGAGGGGCGCCCGCCATTGCCCAGGCTTGCTTAGGTGAACAAAGCAGCTGGGAAGCTCGAACTGGGTGCAGCCCACCACAGCTCAAGGAGGCCTGCCTGCCTCTGTAGGCTCCACCTCTGGGGGCAGGGCACAGACAAACAAAAAGACAGCAGTAACCTCTGCAGACTTAAATGTCCCTGTCTGACAGCTTTGAAGAGAGCAGTGGTTCTCCCGGCATGCAGCTGGAGATCTGAGAATGAGCAGACTGCCTCCTCAAGTGGGTCCCTGACCCCTGACCCCCGAGCAGCCTAACTGGGAGGCATCCCCCAGCAGGGGCAGACTGACACCTCACACGGCCGGGTACTCCAACAGACCTGCAGCTGAGGGTCCTGTCTGTTAGAAGGAAAACTAACAAACAGAAAGGACATCCACACCAAAAACCCAACTGTACATCACCATCATCAAAGACCAAAAGTAGATAGAACCACAAAGATGGGGAAAAAACAGAGCAGAAAAACTGGAAACTTTAAAGAGCAGAGCACCTCTCCTCCTCCAAAGAAACGCAGTTCCTCACCAGCAATGGAACAAAGCTGGACGGAGAATGACTTTGACAAGCTGAGAGAAGAAGGCTTCAGACGATCAAATTACTCCGAGCTATGGGAGGAAATTCAAACGAAAGGCAGAGAAGTTGAAAACTTTGAAAAAAGTTTAGAAGAATGTATAACTAGAATAACCAATACAGAGAAGTGCTTAAAGGAGCTGATGGAGCTGAAAACCAAGGTTCGAGAACTACGTGAAGAATGCAGAAGCCTCAGGAGCCGATGCGATCAACTGGAAGAAAGGGTATCAGTGATGGAAGATGAAGTGAATGAAATGAAGTGAGAAGGGAAGCTTAGAGAAAAAAGAATAAAAAGAAACGAGCAAAGCCTCCAAGAAATATAGGACTATGTGAAAAGACCAAATGTATGTCTGATTGGTGTACCTGAAAGTGATGGGGAGAATGGAACCAAGTTGGAAAACACTCTGCAGGATATTATCCAGGAGAACTTCCCCAATCTAGCAAGGCAGGCCAACATTCGGATTCAGGAAATACAGAGAACGCCACAAAGATACTCCTTGAGAAGAGCAACTGCAAGACACATAATTGCCAGATTCACCAAAGTTGAAATGAAGGAAAAAATGTTAAGGGCAGCCAGAGAGAAAGGTTGGGTTACCCAAAAAGGGAAGCCCATCAGACTAACAGTGGATCTCTCAGCAGAAACTCTACAAGCCAGAAGAGAGTGGGGGCCAATATTCAACATTCTTAAAGAAAAGAATTTTCAACCCAGAATTTCATATCCAGCCAAACTAAGCTTCATAAGTGAAGGAGAAATAAAATACTTTACAGACAAGCAAATGCTGAGAGATTTTGTCACCACCAGGCCTGCCCTAAAAGAGCTCCTGAAAGAAGCGCTAAACATGGAAAGGAACAACCGATATCAGCCGCTGCAAAATCATGCCAAAATGTACAGACCATCGAGACTAGGAAGAAACTGCATCAACTAACGAGCAAAATCACCAGCTAACATCATAATGACAGGATCAAATTCACACATAACAATATTAACTTTAAATGTAAATGGACTAAATGCTCCAATTAAAAGACACAGACTGGCAAATTGGATAAAGAGTCAAGACCCATCAGTGTGCTGTATTCAGGAAACCCATCTCACATGCAGAGACACACATAGGCTCAAAATAAAAGGATGGAGGAAGATCTACCAAGCAAATGGAAAACAAAAAAAGGCAGGGGTTGCAATCCCAGTCTCTGATAAAACAGACTTTAAACCAACAAAGATCAGAAGAGACAAAGAAGGCCATTACATAATGGTAAAGGGATCAATTCAACAAGAAGAGCTAACTATCCTAAATATATATGCACCCAATACAGGAGCACCCAGATTCATAAAGCAAGTCCTGAGTGACCTACAAAGAGACTTAGACTCCCACACAATAATAATGGGAGACTTTAACACGCCACTGTCAACATTAGACAGATCAATGAGACAGAAAGTCAACAAGGATACCCAGGAATTGAACTCAGCTCTGCACCAAGCGGACCTAATAGACATCTATAGAACTCTCCACCCCAAATCAACAGAATATACATTTTTTTCAGCACCACACCACACCTATTCCAAAATTGACCACATACTTGGAAGTAAAGCTATCCTCAGCAAATGTTTTACAGAAATTATAACAAACTATCTCTCAGACCACAGTGCAATCAAACTAGAACTCAGGATTAAGAATCTCACTCAAAACCGCTCAACTACATGGAAACTGAACAACCTGCTCCTGAATGACTACTGGATACATAACGAAATGAAGGCAGAAATAAAGATGTTCTTTGAAACCAACGAGAACAAAGACACAACATACCAGAATCTCTGGGACACATTCAAAGCAGTGTGTAGAGGGAAATTTATAGCACTAAATGCCCACAAGAGAAAGCAGGAAAGATCTAAAGTTGACACCCTAACATGACAATTAAAAGAACTAGAGAAGCAAGAGCAAACACATGCAAAAGCTAACAGAAGGCAAGAAATAACTAAAATCAGAGCAGAACTGAAGGAAACAGAGACACAAAAAACCCTCCAAAAAATTAATGAATCCAGGAGCTGGTTTTTTGAAAAGATCAACAAAATTGATAGACCGCTAGCAAGACTACTAAAGAAAAAAAGAGAGAAGAATCAAATAGATGCAATAAAAAATGATAAAGGGGATATCACCACTGATTCCCACAGAAATACAAACTACCATCAGAGAATACTACAAACACCTCTACGCAAATAAACTAGAAAATCTAGAAGAAATGCATAAATTCCTCGACACATACACTCTCCCAAGACTAAACTAGGAAGAAGTTGAATCTCTGAATAGACCAATAACAGGATCTGAAATTGTGGCAATAATCAATAGCTTACCAACCAAAAAGAATCCAGGACCAGATGGATTCACAGCCAAATTCTACCACAGGTACAAGGAGGAACTGGTACCATTCCTTCTGAAACTATTCCAATCAATAGAAAAAGCGGGAATCCTCCCTAACTCATTTTATGAGGCCAGCATCATCCTGATACCAAAGCCTGGCAGAAACACAACCAAAAAAGAGAATTTTAGACCAATATCCTTGATGAACATTGATGCAAAAATCCTCAATAAAATACTGGCAAACTGAATCCAGCAACACATCAAAAAGCTTGTCCACCATGATCAAGTGGACTTCATCCCTGGGATGCAAGGCTGGTTCAATATATGCAAATCAATAAATGTAATCCAGCATATAAACAGAACCAAAGACAAAAACCACATGATTATCTCAATAGATGCAGAAAAGGCCTTTGACAAAATTCAACAACGCTTCATGCTAAAAACTCTCAATAAATTAGGTATTGATGGGACGTATTTCAAAATAATAAGAGCTATCTATGACAAACCCACAGCCAATATCATACTGAATGGGCAAAAACTGGAAGCATTCCCTTTGAAAACTGGCACAAGACAGGGATGCCCTCTCTCACCACTCCTATTCAACATAGTGTTGGAAGTTCTGGCCAGGGCAATTAGGCAGGAGAAGGAAATAAACGGTATTCAATTAGGAAAAGAGGAAGTCAAATTGTCCCTGTTTGCAGACGACATGATTGTATATCTAGAAAACCCCATTGTCTCAGCCCAAAATCTCCTTAAGCTGATAAGCAACTTCAGCAAAGTCTCAGGATGCAAAATCAATGTACAAAAATCACAAGCATTCTTATACACCAACAACAGACAAACAGAGAGCCAAATCATGAGTGAACTCCCGTTCACAATTGCTTCAAAGAGAATAAAATACCTAGGAATCCAACTTACAAGGGATGTGAAGGACCTCTTCAAGGAGAACTACAAACCACTGCTCAAGGAAATAAAAGAGGATACAAACAAACGGAAGAACATTCCATGCTCATGGGTAGGAAGAATCAGTATCATGAAAATGGCCATACTGCCCAAGGTAATTTACAGATTCAATGCCATCCCCATCAAGCTACCAATGACTTTCTTCACAGAATTGGAAAAAACTACTTTAAAGTTCATATGGAACCAAAAAAGAGCCCGCATCGCCAAGTCAATCCTAAGCCAAAAGAACAAAGCTGGAGGCATCACACTACCTGACTTCAAACTATACTACAAGGCTACAGTAACCAAAACAGCATGGTACTGGTACCAAAACAGAGATATAGATCAATGGAACAGAACAGAGCCCTCAGAAATAACGCCGCATATTTACAACTATCTGATCTTTGACAAACCTGAGAAAAACAAGCAATGGGGAAACGATTCCCTATTTAATAAATGGTGCTTGGAAAACTGGCTAGCCATATGTAGAAAGCTGAAACTGGATCCCTTCCTTACACTTTATACAAAAATCAATTCAATATGGATTAAAGACTTAAACGTTTGACCTAAAACCATAAAAACCCTAGAAGAAAACCTAGGCATTACCATTCAGGACATAGGCATGGACAAGGACTTCATGTCTAAAACACTGAAAGCAATGGCAACAAAAGCCAAAATTGACAAATGGGGTCTAATTAAATTAAAGAGCTTCTGCACAGCAAAAGAAACCACCATGAGAGTGAATAGGCAACCTACAGAATGGGAGAAAATTTTTGCAACCTACTCATCTGACAAAGGGCTAATATCCAGAATCTACAATCAACTCAAACAAATTTACAAGAAAAAAACAAACAATCCCATGAAAAAGTGGGCGAAGGACACGAACAGACACTTCTCAAAAGAAGACATTTATGCAGCCAAAAAACACATGAAAAAATGCTCACCATCACTGGCCATCAGAGAAATGCAAATCAAAACCACAATGAGCTACCATCTCACACCAGTTAGAATGGCGATCATTAAAAAGTCAGGAAACAACAGGTGCTGGAGAGGATGTAGAGAAATAGGAACACTTTTACACCATTGGTGGGACTGTAAACTAGTTCAACCATTGTGGAAGTCAGTGTGGCCATTCCTCAGGGATCTAGAACTAGAAATACCATTTGACCCAGCCATCCCATTACTGGGTATATACCCAAAGGATTATAAATCATGCTGCTATAAAGACACATGCACACGTATGTTTATTGTGGCATTATTCACAATAGCAAAGACTTGGAACCAAGCCAAATGTCCAACAATGATAGACTGGATTAAGAAAATGTGGCACATATACACCATGGAATACTATGCAGCCATAAAAAATGATGAGTTTACGTCCTTTGTAGGGACATGGATGAAATTGGAAATCATCATTCTCAGTACACTATCATAAAAACAAAAAACCAAACACCGCATATTCTCACTCATAGGTGGGAACTGAACAATGAGAACACATGGACACAGGGAGGGGAACATCATACTCTGGGGACTGTTGTGGGATGGGGGAATGGGGGAGGGATAGCATTGGGAGATATACCTAATGCTAGATGACGAGTTAGTGGGTGCAGCGCACCAGCACGGCACATGTATACATATGTAGCTAACCTGCACATTGTGCACATGTACCCTAAAACTTAAAGTATAATAATAATAATTAAAAAAAAAGAAAAAAGAAAAAGAAACTCACTCAAAACCGCTCAACTACCTGGAAACTGAACAACCTGCTCCTGAATGACTACTGGGTACGTAACGAAATGAAGGCAGAAATAAAGGTGTTCTTTGAAACCAATGAGACCAAACACACAACATACCAGAATCTCTGGGACACATTCAAAGCAGTGTGTAGAGGGAAATTTATAGCACTGAATGCCCACAAGAGAAAGCAGGAAAGATCGAAAATTGACACCCTAACATCACAATTAAAAGAACTAGAGAAGCAAGAGCAAACACATTCAAAAGCTAGCAGAAGGCAAGAAATAACTAAGATCAGAGAATAACTGAAGGAAATAGAGACAGAGAAAACCCTCCAAAAAATTAATGAATCCAGGAGCTGGTTTTTTGAAAAGATCAACAAAATTGATAGACTGCTAGCAAGACTAATAAAGAAGAAAAGACAGAAGAATCAAATAGATGCAATAACAAATGATAAAGGGGATATCACCACCGATTCCCACAGATACAAACTACCATCAGAGAATACTATAAACACGTCTACGCAAATAAACTAGAAAATCTAGAAGAAATGCATAAATTCCTGGACACATACACCCTTCCGAGACTAAACCAGGAAGAAGTTGAATCTCTGAATAGACCAATAACAGGCTCTGAAATTGAGGCAATAATTAATAGCTTACCAACCAAAAGAAGTCCAGGACCAGATGGATTCACAGCCGAATTCTACCAGAGGTACAAGGAGGAGCTGGTACCATTCCTTCTGAAACTATTCCAATCAACAGAAAAAGAGGGAATCCTCCCTAACTCATTTTATGAGGCCAGCATCATCCTGATACCAAAGCCTGGCAGAGACACAACAAAAAAAAGAGAATTTTAGACCAATATCCTTGATGAACATTGATGCAAAAATCCTCAGTAAAATACTGGCAAACTGAATCCAGCAACACATCAAAAAGCTTATCCACCATGATCAAGTGGGCTTCATCCCTGGGATGCAAGGCTGGTTCAACATAGGAAAATCAATAAACATAATCCAGCATATAAACAGAGCAAAAGACAAAAACCACATGATTATCTCAATAGATGCAGAAAAGGCCTTTGACAAAATTCAACAACCCTTCATGCTAAAAACTCTCAATAAATTAGGTATTGATGGGAAGTATCTCAAAATAATAAGAGCTATCTATGACAAACCCACAACCAATATCATACTGAATTGACAAAAACTGGATGCATTCCCTTTGAAAACTGGCACAAGACAGGGATGCCCTGTCTCACCACTCCTATTCAACATAGTGTTGGAATTTCTGGCCAGGGCAATCAGGCAGGAGAAGGAAATAAAGGGCATTCAATTAGGAAAAGAGGAAGTCAAATTGTCCCTGTTTGCAGATGACATGATTGTATATCTAGAAAACCCCATCGTCTGAGCCCAAAATCTCCTTAAGCTGATAAGCAACTTCAGCAAAGTCTCAGGACTTATAATTTTTGTCTCTAGAATGATAGACCTATCTGTGTAGAACTTATAGAAGCAGGTGATACTTAATTAAAGGTCACAATGATATGTTTTTTAGGCCAATATCACACAGAATACATGTGAGTTAGGCCCTAAAGTTTGGAGTAGTATGCTGTGATGATTTATACCTTTCACGGATGGTTTTGGTACTGCATGTTCTTTTTTAAAACACAATCATGAGTCTGCCTCCTGCATGCAAGGAATTACCTAGAAACAGGGCAATGAATTAAAGATGGCACAGCTCTCTTTGTTTAATGTTTCCTATTTTTCAGGGGTTTGTTTTGCAACTTTAATATTATTAATCTACACAACCTTTTACTTTTCATTCAGAATTTATATCAGAATCAAGCTAATAAATTAAAGATGAGTTAGTTCATTGTTGGGTGGTTTAATGTAGACCTAGTATGTTAATCCCGATGTGTTTGTTACTAGGGTTTTAAATTATTATTATTATTATTATAATATTTGCCTTGTAGCTGTGGTTAGGCAGCAGCAATAAATCAGAATAAAGGAATGAAGGTATTGGGGCTTTAGGGGAAACATATATTAGAAAAAATTGGTTTGGGACTAAGGGCTTTATTGCATTAAGATGGATTTTAGAGATACAGAGGTAAGAGAATGTAGACAAATAAACTGTATAAATAATTTGAGAAATAGTAAGTCTGTACAGGTCCCAAGTAACCCTGTAAGCCACCATCAACAGGACTTCGTAACTCCTGTTCAGACAGACCAAACAGGTACACTCTACTTAAACAAATAGCCAGGAGAAATGGGCACATGGCTAACGCTAGGGAAAGTGGGAGAAACAGATAAAGCTCTTTAACATAGCCCAAAGGATTGGAATAAAAGAAGTCAGTGTAGGAGTCTGACAAGGCATCTTCTGTGAATAGGGCTTTATAGCCACTCTAGGCGCTGATATTGCAAACACAGGCTAAGGCAACCAAAAGCTGGGAGCCTTACAGTGCAACACACCAGTGCCCGAGAATATAGTTCTCTGCAGTAGGGAATTCGTTTTGGCAGCCTGAATGTGGAGGAGACAGGAAGAAGCATTCAAATAAGGCTGAGCATATAAATAAATGACATGGTGTGAAAGATGAAGTTGATGGGAACAAGTTTGGACCATTCCAGGGACACGAGGAAGTACAAGGATGGCAGAAAGTACAGAAAGAATAGAAAGAGCAAAAGGGACCTTTCTTAGTAGCCTGAATGGTACCTGAACTGAGAGAGTCATATGTTCTGGAACAGATTTTATTCTCAACTAAAGCATAGAAGTTCTGTAGATAGGAAGAAACAGTTTTTTTTTTTGAAGCCTTGAACTTGCTTTTGTTGGTTGGATATGTCTGCTTTGTCCCTAGTTCTTTCATCTAAGTTGATCCAGTTACACATCACTGTGCAGGGAACAGACCCTGTCCTCATTCTTATCTTTGATGTTCCCTAGGCTCACTTCCTATTTGTTCACTTGACTAGCTATTCTCTGGCCCTGCTTCCCATCCCCTGGACTCTGCTTGAGGCTTTGAGCCCCTGTACTCTACCTTACTGACCTTTCCCTTATCCTTTTTTATTTACTGTCCCTTAGCTTCCCGAACAAGGTGTATTTGACAGGACATGACTGCTAGACCACTGGTGGTTATCTCCAAGATAGTAGTAATCATGATAATGACCATGCTGTCCCATACAGCCTGGCTATACATTGTCATTTTAAAAAGAATGTATTTCTTTGGCATCATGGATTTGCAGTAGCTGAGAGCCCTAATGCAGGTAGAGGTAAAACATGTTTTCAATCCCCTTCCTTCCCATCTTGATCAAATAATACATGGACTGTGACTTCAAGAAATTTACAAATGAGTATGAATGATTAAATATAGATATTAAAAGTTCATAACAGAAGTAAAGAATTGTTTTCAAAAACGGTAGAAGAAAAATCACAAGCCAGCACATGATTACGTGGGTAAATGCATGGGTACTAATTGGACAAAAATTCAAAAGCGGGAGAGAAAGACCACTTCCAGCTAGAAAGGTCAGGGGCACTTTTCAGGCTTATTAATTAGTCAGGGAAAGTTGAAGGTTTGCACTTGAGCTTTTGTGGGGTCTCCAGAGTTCTAGTTCAGAAAAGGAAAAGAAAGACAAGATATTTTACAGCTCGACTACTAATGAGCAGCTGACAAGAAAGGACATGGACAGATAAATCTCACTGTTTACATTGAACTTTTACTGCAACCTTTTTTATATCTTCCTGTGAAGAAATGTGTATCACCACAATCTTGAACCACAATCTTGAAGCATCTAAAATTTGACATTGCTTTTCTCGGGAAAGCCTGTGAAATGTGAATTGACAGAAAAATTCTGTCTGCAGGTCAGTGTATGCAGACTAAGAAGTTTGTGCTCTTCAAACAGCCTGAAGCTAAAAGCAGGCTATTTTCACTCTTTGGTTAAATGCCAGCTAAATTCATTTGAATACTGCACTGTCAGTATTTTATTTATTTGTCCTGATGCCACATTTCCTCTCCCAAATCTCTCTTGCATAAATGATTTACTATTTGTTCCTAAGGCTGAAGATTTTATGCCTTGTCTCTTTTTTCTGATAAGAGGATATTGCAGCAGCTTTCCTTTTGTGCTGCTGATGGTTTTTATTTTAGTTCAAAGTTCAGCACAGTAACTAGCTTAGTAAGGCACAGAAAACCAAGAGGTTTGGTCCTTGAAACAGCGAAGACAGTAAATCTTCACTGGCCTATTATCACATAAAACCCTGCTGAATTTGTTTCCCTAAAAAGTCAGTTAGCAAAGTGTGGTTCTTAAAATAGGTTTTACATTTTCTTAACTCTCCAAACTAAGCATATTTAAGTATAGGACACTTAAGGTCCTTAAGATTAAGTTAAGAAAAAATACTTTTATAATGGAAACCCACAAATTTTATAGGATGTTTTTTCTTTAAAAGAAAAAGGGAGCTATTCTTTGTGGGTGTACCCTCATTAGGTCTTCAGAATATGTCTTGACATAGGAAGGTAGAGTGCTCAACATTTAGGAAAAGGATTATGTGATTTTTTTAAATTTAGTTTTTTAAAGGTGGCACTTGAGATATTAATTTACATTAAGAAAATTATATTCCATAGTTCTTTGTGGTGGTGGTCACTAGACTAAGCTAAAAGATTTAAAGTTAAAACAAAAATCAGCCAACAAATATAGAAAATTAATTCATCAGGTCAGTACTGAACTACTGTCCAAACTCAAGACACAAGTCAATAGAAAGTCTATTCCATATTAAAGTTTGCAAGCACAATAGAGACATAACCCCTGGAAGCTTTTCTGTCTCTAACCTTTCCTCACTTGGGATGTGGGGACTAAATTGGCGATAGAATCCCACATTACTCTCAGAATGATTAACCAGTTTCCTGAATTGCCATTATTCTTTCCAAATTTCTAGGCTGTAGACCTCTGGAAGCAACAAGTACCCCATGATTAGGAAAACTGATGAGAAATAAAGAAGAACAAACTTAGTTCTTGGGTGTCAGTGGGTCGATGCAACTGATTGCATTCCATGCCAAAAGAGAAAATGGCAGAAACCTCATAGGATGCTTCTGTGATCCTATGTAAATAAATTTCTCCAGATTTCACTAGTTATATGTCAACTCAGAAACATTGGTTAAATAGAACACAGTTTAGGTCTATATAGTGTTTCTTCTTTCTCAGAAAAGTGTAGCATAATTCACAATTAAAATAGAAGGCACACTTTACTACAGCTTTCTCAAAAATGGACAGATTAAACCAATGAAAATAAATGAAGACATAGAGAATTTGAATACAGTTCAAAAACTAAATCTCATATATATATAAAACTTTATAGCCAATAAACAGAAAGTATATAGTTTTTTCAAATATCTATGGAACTTTTATAAAAACTGATCATATATTAAGCTACAAAGACAATCTCAATAAAATTCTCAAAGTTGAAACCATGTGATACATTCTCTGACCATATTGCAATTAAAACACACACACGCACACATACACACACATGCTCCCAAGTCCAACCATTTGAAAAATTTAAAAACAGGCTTCAAATTTCCCCATGGATTAAAAAGAAAGAAAAATGATGAGATCATTGAATATTGGAAATGAGTGACTATGGCATCTTTACATATAAGAAATCAGAGAATCAGAGGAATGTGACCTGAAAATCTGCCATTGCAAGCTCTGAAGATACAGCAAGAGGGCCATGAGCCAAGAAATGCACCAGCCTCTAGAAGCTTGGAAAAACCCTCAATTTACAGCTAACAAGAAAATGGAGACCCTAGTCATACAAATGCAAGGAACTGGATTCTACCAACAACCTGGGTGAGCACAAAATGGATTCCCCCCTAGAGCCTCCAGAAAGGAACACATCCTTGCAGATGCTTTGATTTTAACTCAGTGAGACCCATGTTGAACTTCTTTTTTTGTGTGGTTTTTGCCATAAAAAGCATTACTTTTTTTTAATTATTATACTTTAAGTTCTGGGATACATGTGCAGAACATGCAGGTTTGTTACATAGGTATACACGTGCCATGGTGGTTAGCAGCACCCATCAACCTGTCATCTACATTAGGTATTTCTTCTAATGCTATGCCTCCACTAGCCCCCACCCCCGACAGGGCCTGGTGTGTGATGTGCTCCTCCCTGTGCCCATGTGTTCTCATTGTTCAACTCCCACTTATGAGTGAGAACATGCAGTGTTTGGTTTTCTGTTCCTGTGTTAGTTTGCTGAGAATGATGGTTTCCAGCTTCATCCATGTCCCTGCAAAGGACATGAACTCATCCTTTTTTATGGCTGCATAGTATTCCATGGTGTACACGTGCCACATTTCCTTTATCCAGTCTATCACTGATGGGCATTTGGGTTGGTTCCAAGTCTTTGTTATTGTGAAAAGTGCTGCAATAAACATACATGTCCATGTGTCTTTATAATAGAATGATTTATAATCCTTTGGGTATGTACCCAGTAATGGGATTGCTGGGTTAAATGGTATTTCTGGTTCTAGATCCTTGAGGAATCACCACACTGTCTTCCACAATGGTTGAACTAATAACATTCCTACCAACAGTGTAAAAGCATTCCTACATTCCTACTTCTCCACCTCCTCTCCAGCATCTGCTGTTTCCTGACTTTTTAATGATTGCCATTCTAAGTGGCATGAGATGGTATCTCACTGTGATATTGATTTGCATTTCTCTAATGACCAGAGATGATGAGCTTTTTTTTCATATGTTCCTTGGCTGCATAAATGTCTTCTTTTGAGATGTTTCTGTTCATATCCTTAGCTCATTTTTGATGGGTTTTTTTTTCTTGTAAATTTAAGTTCCTTGTAGATTCTGGATATTAGCCCTTTGTCAGATGGATAGATTGCAAAAATTTTCTCCCATTCTGAAGCTTGCCTGTTCACTCTCATGATAGTTTCTTTTACTGTGCAGAAGCTCTTTAATTAGATCCCATTTGTCAATTTTGGCTTTTGTTGCCATTGCTTTTGGTGTTTTAGTCATGAAGTCTGTGCCTATGACTAGGTCCTGAATGGTACTGCCTAGGTTTTCTTCTAGCATTTTTATGGTTTTAGGTCTTATGTTTCAGTCTTTAATCCATCTTGAGTTAACTTCTGTATTAACTCAAGGAGTCCAGTTTCAGTTTTCTGCATATGGCTAGCCATTTTTCCCAACACCATTTATTAACTAGGGAATCCTTTCCCAATTGCTTATGTCAGGTTTGTCAAAGATCAGATGGTTGTAGATGTGTGGCATTATTTCCAAGGTCTCTGTTCTGTTCCATTGGTCTACATCTCTGTTTTGGTACCAGCACCATACTCTTTTGGTTACTGCAACTTTGTAGTATAGTTTGAAGTCAGGTAGTGTGATGCCTCCAGCTTTGTTCTTTTTGCTTAGGATTGTCTTGGCTATATGAGCTCTTTTTTGGTTCCATGTGAAATTTAAAGTAGTTTTTTTTCTAATTCTGTGAAGAAAGTCATTGAGTTTGATGGGGAGAGCATTGAATCTATCAGTTACTTTGGGCAGTATGGTCATTTTCATGATATTGATTCTTCCTATCCATGAGCATGGAATGTTTTTTCATATGTTTGTGTCCTCTCTTATTTCCTTGAGCAGTGGTTTGTTCTCCTTGAAGAGGTCCTTCACATCCCTTGTAAGTTGTATTCTTAGCTATTTTATTCTCTTTGTAGCAATTGTGAATGGGAGTTCACTCATGATTTGACTGTTTGTCTATTATTGATGTATAGGAATGCTTGTGACTTTTGCACATTGATTTTGTATCCTGAGACTTTGCTGAAGTTGCTTATCAGCTTAAGGAGATTTGGGGCCGAGATGATGTTTTTTCTTTGTTTGTTTGTTTGTTTGTTTGTTTTTTTCTGAGACAGAGTCTCACTCTGTCGCCCAGGCTGGAGTGCAATGGTGCGATCTCGGCTCACTGCAAGCTCCGCCTCCCAGGTTCACGCCGTTCTTCTGCCTCAGCCTCCTGAGTAGCTGGGACTACAGGTGCCCGCCACCATGTCCAGCTAATTTTTTTTGTACTTTTAGTAGAGACAGGGAGCCAGGATGGTCTCGATTCCTTACCTTGTGATCTGCCCGCCTCAGCCTCCCAAAGTCCTGGAATTACAGGCATGAGCCACCACGCCCAGCCGATGATAGGGTCTTCCAAATATACAATCATGTCATCTGCAAACAGAGACAATATGACTTCCTCGCTTCCTATTTGAATACCTTTATTTCTTTCTCTTGCCTGATTGTCTTGGCCAGAACTTCCAATACTATGTTGAATAGGAGTGTTGAGAGAGGTCATCCTTGTCTTGTGCAGGTTTTCAAAGGGAATGCTTCCAGCTTTTGCCTATTCAATATGATACTGGCTGTGGGTTTGTCATTAATAGTTCTTATTATTTTGAGATATGTTCCATCAATACCTAGTTTATTGAGAGTTTTTAGCATGAACAGGGTGTTGAATTTTATTGAAGGCCTTTTCTGCATCTATTGAGATAATCATGAAGTTATTGTCATTGGTTCTACTTATGTGATGGATTACGTTTATTAATTTGCACATGTTGAATGAGCCGTGCATCCCCGGGATGAAGCCAACTTGATCTTGTTGGATAAGCTTTTTGATGTGCTGCTGGATTCAGTTTGCCAGTATTTTACTGATGATTTTCGTATCGATGGTCATCAGGGATATTGGCCTGAAATTTTCTTTTTTTGTTGTGTCTCTTCCAGGTTTGGTATCGGGATGATGTTGGCCTCATAAAATGAGTTAGGGAGGAGTCCCTCTTTTTCTATTGTTTGGAATAGTTTCAGAAGGAATGGTATCAACTCTTCTTTGTACGTCTGGTAGAATTTGGCTGTGAATCCATCTGGTCCTTGGCTTTTTTTGGTTGGTAGGCTATTAATTATTGCTTCAATTTCAGAACTTGTTATTGGTCTATTCAGGCATTCAATTTCTTCCTGGTTTAGTCTTGGGAGGGTGTATGTGTCCAGGAATGTATCAATTTCTTCTAGATTTTTGGTTTATTTGTGTAGAGGTATTCATAGCATTCTCTGATGGTAGTTTGTATTTCTGTGGGATCAGTGGTGATATCCCCTTTCTCATTTTTTATTGTATCTATTTGATTCTTCTCTCTTTTCTTCTTTATTTGTCTGGCTAGTGGTCCATCTATTTTGTTGATCTCTTCAAAAAACCAGCTCCTGGATTCATTGATTTTTTGAAGGGTTGTTCATGTCTCTATCTCCTTCAGTTCTGCTCTGATCTTTGTTATTTCTTGTCTTCTGCTATCTTTCGAATTTGTTTGCTCTTGGTTCTCTAGTTCTTTTAATTGTGATGTTAGGGTGTTGATTTTAGATCTTTCCCGCTTTCTCTGGTGGGCATTTAGTGCTACAAATTTCTCTCTAAACACTGCTTTGGCTGTGTCCCAGAGATTCTGGTACATTGTGTCTTTGTTCCTATTGGTTCAAATAACTTATTTATTTATGCCTTAATTTTGTTATTTACCCGGTAGTCATTCAAGAGCAGGTTGTTCAGTTTCCATGTAGTTGTGCAGTTTTGAGTGACCTTCTTAATCCTGAATTCTAATTTGATTGCAGTGTGGTCCGAGAGACTGTTTGTTATGATTTCCATTCTTTTGCATTTGCTGAGGAGTGTATTACTTCCAGTTGTGTGGTCAATTTTAGAGTAAGTGTTATGTGGTGCTGATAAGAATGTATATTCTGTTGATTTGGGATGGAGAGTTCTATAGATGTCGATTAGGTCTGCTTGGTCCAGAGCTGAGTTCAAGTCCTGAATATCCTTGTTAATTTTCTGTCTCATTGATCTAATATTGACAGTGAGGTGTTAAAGTCTCCCATCATTATTGTGCGAGAGTCTAAGACTCTTTGTAGGTCTCTAAGAACTTGCTTTATGAATCTGGATGCCACCGTATTGGATGAATATATATTTAGGATAGTTAGCTCTTCTTGTTGCATTGATCCCTTTACCATTATGTAATGCCCTTCTTTGTCTCTTTTGATCTTTGTTGGTTTAAAGTCTGTTCTATCAGAGATTAGGATTGCAATCCCTGCTTTTTTTTTTCTTTCGATTTGCTTGGTAAATATTCCTCCGTCCCTTTATTTTGAGCCTATGTGTGTCTTTGCATGTGAGATGGGTCTACTGAATACAGCATGGTAATGGGTCTTGACTCTTTATCCAATTTGCCAGTCTGTGTCTTTTAATTGCAGCATTTAGCCCATTTACATTTAAGGTTAATATTTTTATGTGTGAATTTGACTCTGTCGTTACGATGCTAGCTGGTTATTTTGCCCACTAGTTGATGCAGTTACTTCATAGTGTTGATGATCTTTACAATTTGGCATGTTTTTACAGTGGCTGGGACCGGTTTCT
Source organism: Homo sapiens (assembly GCF_000001405.40). Lineage (NCBI taxonomy): Eukaryota > Metazoa > Chordata > Mammalia > Primates > Hominidae > Homo > Homo sapiens. The sequence goes on along the minus strand of NC_000002.12, from coordinate 62,635,287 downwards.
CTTTTCCATATTTAGTGCTTCCTTCAGGAGCTCTTGTAAGGCAGGCCTGGTGGTGACAAAATCTCTTAGCATTTGCTTGTCTGTAAAGGATTTCATTTCTCCTTCGCTTACGAAGCTTAGTTTGGCTGGATATGAAATTCTGGGTTGAAAATTTTTTTAAGAATGTGGAATATTGGCCCCCACTCCCTTCTGGCTTGTAGGGTTTCTGCTGAGAGATCTGCTGTTAGTCTGATGTGCTTCCCTTTGTGAGTAACCTGACCTTTCTCTCTGGCTGCCCTAAACCTTTTCTTCCTTTATTTCAACCTTCATGAATCTGACAATTATGTGTCTCAGGGTTGCTCTTCTTGAGGAGTATCTTTGTGGTGTTCTCTGTATTTCCTGAATTTGAATGTTGGTCTGCCTTGCTTCGTTGGGGAAGTTCTCCTGGATAATATCCTGAAGAGCATTTTCCAACTTGACTCTATTCTCCCCGTCACTTTCAAGTATACTAATCAGACGTAGGTTTGGTCTTTTCACATAGTCCCATATTTCTTGGAGGCTTTGTTTGTTTCTTTTCATTCTTTTTTCTCTACTCTTGGTTTCACACTTTATTTCATTAAGTTGATCTTCAAACTCCAATATCCTTTCTTCCACTTGATCGATTTGGCTACTGGTACTTGTGTATGCTTCACAAAGTTCTCATGCTGTGTTTTTCAGCTCCATCAGGTCATTTATGTTCTTCTCTAAACTGGTTATTCAGTTAGCAATTCCTCTAACCTTTTTTCAGGTTCGTAGTTTCCTTGCATTGGGTTAGAACATGCTTCTTCAGCTTGGAGGAATTTATTACCCACCTTCTGAAGCCTACTTCTGTCAATTAGTCAAACTCATTATCCGTCCAGTTTTGTCCCTTTGCTGGTGAGGAGTTGTGATCCTTTGGAGGAGAATAGGTATTCTGGTTTTTGGAATTTTCAGACTTTTTGCACTGGTTTCTCCCCATCTTCGTAGATTTATCTACCTTTGGTCTTTGATGTTGGTGACCTTTGGATGGGGTTTCTGAGTGAACGTTCTTTTTGTTGATGTTGATGCTATTCCTTTCTGTTTGTTAGTTTTCCTTCTAACAGGCCCCTCCTCTGCAGGTCTGCTGGAGCTTGCTGGAGGGCTACTCTAGACCCTGTTTTCCTGGGTATCACTAGCGGAGGCTGCAGAACAGCAAAGATTGCTTCCTGTTCTTCCTCTGGAAGGTTTGTCCCAGAGGGACACCCACCAGATGCTAGCCAGAGCTCTCCTGTATGAGGTGTCTCTCAACCCCTCTGGGAGGTGCCCCCCAGTGAGGAGGCACAGGGTTCAGGGACCCACTTGAGGTGGCAGTCTGTCCTTTAGCAGAGCTCAAGTGCTGTGCTGGGAGATCCTCCACTCTCTTCAGAGCTGGCAGGCAGGAATGTTTAATTCTGCTGAAGCTGCGCCCACAGCCACCCCTTCCCCAATGTGCTCTGTCCCAGGGAGTTTAATCTATAAGCCCCTGACTGGGGCTGCTGCCTTTCTTTCGGAGATGCCCTGCCCAGCGAGTAGGAATCTAGAGAGGCAGTCTGGCTACAGTGGCTTTGCCAAGAGGCAGTGGGCTCTGCCCAGCTGGGATTTCCCTGCAGCTTTGTTTCCACTGTGAGAAGAAAACTGCCTATTCAAGCCTCAGTAATGGCAGACACCCCTCCCTACATCAAGCGCGAGTGTCCCTGGTCAACTTCAGACTGCAGTGCTGACAGCGAGAATTTCAAGCCAGTGGATCTTAGCTTGCTGGGCTCCATGGGGTGGGGATCCACTAAGCTAGACCACTTGGCTCCCTGGCTTCAGCCCCCTTCCAGGGGAGTGAACGGTTCTATCTTGCTGGCATCCCAGGTGCCACTGGGGTATGAAAAAAAACTCCTGCAGCTAGCTCAGTGTCTGCCCAAATGGCTGCCCAGTTTTGTGCTTGAAACCCAGGGCCCTGGTGGAGTAGGCACCCAAGGGAATCTCCTGGTCTGTGGGTGGCAAAGACCATGGGAAAAGTGTAGTATCTGGCTGGAGTGCACCGTTCCTTATGGCACAGTCCCTCATGACTTCCCTTGCCTAGGGGAGGGAGTTCCCTAACCCCTTGTGCTTCCTGGGTGAGATGACGCCCCACCCTGCTTTGGCTCACCCTCCATTGGCTGCACCCACTGTCTAACCAGTCCCAGTGAGATGAGCCGGGTACCTCCGTTGGAAATGCAGATATCACCTGCCTTCTGCGTTAATCTCACTTGGAGCTGCAGACCGGAGCTGTTCCTATTCGGCCATCCCGCCAGCCACCCCATGTTGAACTTCTAACTCAGAGAACTATAAAAGTACAAATGCTTGTTGTCTAAGCCAATAAATTTGTGGTGCTTTATTAGGGCAAAAATAGAAAACTAGTATAGATTGGGGGAGCTGAAATTGGATGCTGCTGTAACAAATAACTAAATATGTGGAAGTGACTTTGGAATTGGTTGGTGGAAGCTGGAAGAATACTGAAGATCATGATTTTTAAAAAGTCTATAATGCATTGAACAGACTGTTAGTAGAAAGATTGACTTTAAGAAATTGTGTCCTGCAGTTATGTGGCAATCAGAACTTAGAAACAATGAAAGTGGACATTTAGCTGAGGTGATTTCCAAGTAAAGTATTTTGAAGTACAACTTGGTTTCTTCTTACTGTGCTTATAGTGAAATGAAGAGGAAAGAAATAAATTGAGGAAAGAATAATTAAACAAATAGAATCCAGGATTTGATGATTTGGGAAATTCTCAGATGATCCAGATTATAAAAGACATGAAAATTAAGAGATTCACTGTCAGGGAAGTGTATGCTAGAGAAAAAGCTAAGGGTGTGGCTAGAGTATCTTTTATTAATATCTCAGAAAGATCAAAAGGTCAGAGAATTCAATCACACAAAATGTTATTTTAAAAGATTAAGGGCCAGGCATGGTGGCTCACGCCTGTAATCCCAGCACTTTGGGAGGTCAAGGTGGGCAGATCCCAAGGGTAAGAGATCAAGACCATCCTGGCCATCATGGTAAAACCCTATCTCTACTAAAAAGAAAAATTACTAAAGACATGGTGGCACATGTCTGTAGTCCCAGCTACTCAGGAGGCTGAGGCAAGAGAATTGCTTGAACCCAGGAGGTGGAGGTTGCAGTGATCTGAGATCGTGCCACTGCACTCCAGCCTGGCAACAGAGCAAGACTCCATCTCAAAAAAAAAAAAAAAAAGATTAAGGGTATTAGTCATAGATCTCAAACTAGAGAGCTTCTAGGAAGCTTAAAGACTTTGTCTTTCAGACATCTTTTAGCAAAAGCTAAAGATAGAGATGAGATTATCTAGGAAATCTGTGGATGAGGCTCTTTCCTGTGACATACATGGGAGATCCACAGGGTTCTTGAGAATTTTATATCTGCAGAAACACTGTCAACCTGGACCAAAAGAAATAGAGTATGAAAGAAAGCAGGTGATCAGATTTCAAAAATTATACAAGCAGGAAACAGGCTGATAAGATTATACAGCTGTAAACATGTGCTTCCTTTCATTAAAAAATATTTTTAAAGTGTTTTTTAGAAATGTTCTGTACCATTGAGGATAATTCCCAGACCTTGAAACTTAGTGGAGTTTCTCCAGCTGAATTTCAAAATTGCTTGGGACCAGTAACCCCTTATTTTTCTTCATTTTCTTTTTTTTTTTTTTTTTTATTCATTTACAGTTTATTTCAGGACTATATTAAGTTTCCCAACTTCTGTCATGATATAGTCCAAAGAGAACCTGGACCACGCAGACATCAAACAGAACATGACACTGACCCATTCTATCAGTGACGTTGTGCTGATTGCACAGGACAGATGAGAGGCTCGTATACTAGAAGTCTTGGTAAGCTCGTGGGAAGTAAATGCTATGATGACTCAGGGACTGGCTGCTTCAATGACATTTTGAGAGGTCCAGTGATGGAGGGCATGCCAAGATAACCACTTCAAAGTGAAAGGCAAATTGCTGCATCTGGAATCTCCTACCACAAACAAGGAGGCACAGCTCCTGCTAGAGCTATTTGAGTTTTTTTTTTTTTTTTTTTTTTATCATTCTTGGGTGTTTCTCGCAGAGGGGGATTTGGCAGGGTCATAAGACAATAGTGGAGGGAAGGTCAGCAGATAAACAAGTGAACAAAGGTCTCTGGTTTTCCTAGGCAGAGGACCCTGGGGCCTTCTGCAGTGTTTGTGTCCCTGGGTACTTGAGATTAGGGAGTGGTGATGACTCTTAACCAGCATGCTGCCTTCAAGCATCTGTTTAACAAAGCACATCTTGCACAGCCCTTAATCCATTTAACCCTGAGTGGACACAGCACATGTTTCAGAGAGCACCAGGTTGGGGGTAAGGTCATAGATCAACAGCATCCCAAGGCAGAAGAATTTTTCTTAGCACAGAACAAAATGGAGTCTCCCATGTCTACTTCCTTCCACACAGACACAGCAACAATCTGATTTCTCTATCCCTTCCCCACATTTCCGACCTCTCTATTCGACAAAACCGCCATCGTCATCATGGCCTGCTCTCAATGAGCTGTTGGGTACACCTCCCAGATGGGGTGGCGGCTGGGCAGAGGGGCTCCTCACTTCCCAGAAGGGGCGGCCGGGCAGAGGTGCCGCCCACCTCCCGGACGGGGCGGCTGGCCGGGCGGGGGCTGCCCCCCACCTCCCTCCCTGACGGGGCGGCTGGCTGGCCGGGGGCTGGCCCCCACCTCCCTCCCAGACGGGGCGGCTGGCCGGGGGGGCGCTGCCCCCCACCTCCCTCCCGGATGGGGCGGCTGGCCGGGCGGGGGCTGCCCCCCACCTCCCTCCCGGATGGGGCACCTGGCCGGGTGGGGGCTGCCCCCCACCTCCAGGAGGGGGCGGCTGCCGGGCGGAGACGCTCCTCACTTCCCAGACGGGGTGGCTGCCAGGCAGAGGCGCTCCTCACATCCCAGACGGGGTGGCGGGGCAGAGGCACTCCCCACAGCTCAGACGATGGGCGGCCAGGCAGAGACGCTCCTCGCTTCCTAGATGGGATGGTGGCCGGGAAGAGGCGCTCCTCACTTCCCAGACTGGGCAGCCGGGCAGAGGGGCTCCTCACATCCCAGACGATGGGCGGACAGGCAGAGACACTCCTCACTTCCCAGACGGGGTGGCAGCCGGGCAGAGGCTGCAATCTCGGCACTTTGGGAGGCCAAGGCAGGCAGCTGGGAGGTGGAGGTTGTAGCGAGCGGAGATCACGCCACTGCACTCCAGCCTGGGCAACATTGAGCACTGAGTGAACGAGACTCCATCTGCAATCCTGGCACCTCGGGAGGCCGAGGTTGGCAGATCACTCGCGGTTAGGAGCTGGAGACCAGCCCGGCCAACACAGCAAAACCCCGTCTCCACCAAAAAAATACGAAAACCAGTCAGGCATGGCGGCGCGCACCTGCAATCGCAGGCACTCGGCAGGCTGAGGCAGGAGAATCAGGCAGGGAGGTTGCAGTGAGCAGAGATGGCGGCACTACAGTCCAGCTTCCGCTCGGCATCAGAGGGAGACCGTGGAAAGAGAGGGAGAGGGAGACCGTGGGGAGAGGGAGAGGGAGACCGTGGGGAGAGGGAGAGGGAGACCGTGGGGAGAGGGAGAGGGAGACCGTGGGGAGAGGGAGAGGGAGACCGTGGGGAGAGGGAGAGGGAGAGGGAGACCATGGGGAGAGGGAGAGGGAGAGGGAGAGGGAGAGCCATTTTCTTATTTTTTGAACTGGAATATCTTTCATTGTCATTCTGTGCCCACCATTGTACTGGGAGCAGATAACTTGTTTTCTAGTTTCACATGTCCACAGATGAAGAAAAATTGTGCCCCAGCAAGGATTATACCCAGAGCCTCATCCATTCATACCTGATTTAGATACTTAGATGATGAGTAATAGAAAAGGTAATATAATATATAAGGAAAATATAATAAAGCCTACAATTTAAAAATTATCTTTTTATTTAACAGATATTCAACAGACTTTCTTGCATGCTTACTTTTTCAAAGCACTGTGCTTAAATATACAGTTATGTTATTTATATATAGCTAGTAGTTGCCATTATGATTTTTAAAGATCAGTATAAATGCAAATCCCAAAATTATCATCTTTATAAAGTTTAATTTTCTTTTCAGAATAAAAATGAGGCTCTCAATAATCTTTTCCCATAAAAAGATTATGCTGTAATCCCACATTTTGCTAAAGTTATTTTTATCACCAATTAGCATAATGTAATTTACATACAAATTTTAGGCTTGTATAGTATCATAGTACCTTTAGGAGGTAAAATTTGTCTTCCAATATTATTTCTTTTCATAGAAGATAAAACAGATTCTTGGAGGAGAATAAAAGCTTGCCTACAGGAACATTGCAAATTAGTGACTGACTTGGAGTAAAACACAAGCTTGTTGAATTTGAGCTGTTGCCTAGTGTATCAGCTCTTGTATTTTTTCTCATGTCCTTGATTAAGATCTTGGCTAGTCCTCACTCTCATGGAACTGGTGCTAATAAACTGGGAATCTTTGATTATACATGTCCATTAGATATCAAAACGATAAAACTTTAGAGGTAAATGGTGAAAAACTGAAAGTTTTTCCTCTAAGGCATAAGACAAGGATGCTCACTCTTACCACTTATATTCAACATAGTACTGAAATCCTTGCTGAAGCAATCAAGCAAGAAAAAGAAATAAAAGGCATCCAAATGGGAAAGGAAGAAGTAAAATTATCTGTTACATATGGCATGTTCTTGTATGTAAAAACCCTGAAGATGTCACCAAAAAAAAAAGCGGTTAGAACCAATAGCTGAATTCAGCAGTTACAGGAAACAAAATAAATACATAAAAACCAGTTGCATTTCTATACACTAACAATGACGAATTTGAAAAGGAGATTAAGAAAACAATCCCATTTATAATAGCATCAAAAAGAATAAAATAGGAATAAACTTAACAAAGTAGGCAAAAGACTTATACACTAAAAACTGCAAAACATTGCTGAAAGTAATTAAAGAAAACACAAATAAATGGAAAGACATTTGGTTCATGGAGCGGAAGACAATATTGTTAAAATGTTCATACTACACAAACATGGGAGATCCACAACGCACAAGATTCACAAGATTAAATGCAATCCCTATTAAAATCCCAATGGCATTATTTTTTGGCAGAAATAGAAAAATCCTAAAATTCATATGGAACCTCAAAGGACCTTGAAAAGCCAAAATAATCTTGAATAAGAAAAACAAAGTTGGGTGCCTCACATGTCATGATTTCAAAACATATTACAAAGCTATAGTTGCCAGGTCTGCCCCATAGACCTTGGCCGAGCAACAGATGAAAGGAGTACTCAGACATAGGTATGCAGTGAAAGAGCAGTTAGGGCTGCCAGCTCTAGTGGCTGAAAAAGAGAGCAGCCTCGAACAGCTGGAGCTGCTTGCTTTTATTCGGTACAAACATAATGCCAAAAGCCTGGAGCAAACACAATCTGCAGGTAATTAACATTATTGTTCCCCTTTTAGGGAACAGGTCACAGCCGATTATCAAAGTTTGGTTTCTGGACAACATAGGTAAACAAGCCTGTTTACGATAAATTCTCCTACACTTTCTTGTACCTACTCCTTGCCCTCTGCCTCAGGGTAAGAGAACAGCTGCCTTCAGCTTATTCTCCCCCGAAGCTATGTGGAGCCTTCTGACCTTTCAGAAAGCCTGCTCCTTTCCCTATAGCTTCTCCCACCACTCTCACCAATCTTCTACATACAGTAACCATAACAGTCTGGTACATGCACAAGGAGGCACATACAGACCAATGGAACAGAATAGAAAACCTAAAAATAAACACTGACATATATGGTCAGATAATCTTTGACAAAGGTGCCAAGGTGGGAAAGGATAGTTCCTTCAACAAATGGTGCTGGAAAAAACTATATCTACATGCAAAAGAAGGAAGCTAGACCTTTGTCTTACATCATATAAAAACATTAACTCAAAATGCATTAAAATGTTAAATGTAAGGCCCAAAACTATAAAACTCCTAGAAGAAAATACATAGAGAAATCTTCATGGCATTGGATTTGGCAGTGATTTCTTGAATATGATACCAAAAGCACAGACAACAAAAGCAAAAATCTACAAAGGAAACCACATCAAACTCAAAAATTCTGTGCAGCAAAGGAAACAATCACCAGAGTTAAAATGGCAACCTATAAAATGGGAGAAAATATTCACAATCCATATATCTGATAAGGTGTTAATATCCAGAATGCATAAAGAACTCCTACAACTCAACAACACAACAACAAAACAAATAATTCAATTTAAAAATGGCAAAGAACTTGAAAAGTCATTTCTCCAAAGAAGATATACAAATGGCCAATTAGCATGTGAAAAAATGCTTAATGTCACTAATCATTAGGGTAATGCAATCCAAAATCACAATGAACTATCACCTCACATCTTTTAGGATGCCCACTATAAACACATGCACACACAGAAAATAACAAGTGTTGACAAGGTTATATAAAAATTGGCATTGTTAGTGGAAATGTAAAATGATGTGTCCACTATGGGAAACAGTTCTGTGTGTTTCTGTGGAAAAATGGAATTATCATACGATCTAGCAATCCCACTTCTGGGTACATATATTTAAAATTATTGAAACCAGGATCTCAAAGAGATACTTGCACACCGATGTTCATTGCAGCATTATTCACAGTAGCTAAAAGGTGGAAGCAACTTAAATGTCCATCAATAGATGAATGGATAAAGGAAATGTGGTATATATACAATGGAATATTATTCAGCTATAAAAAGCAGGAAATCCTGTCAAATGCAATAACATGGAAGAACCTTGAGGGCATTATGCTAACTGAACTACATCAATCACAAAAAGACAAATACTGAGTGATTCTGCTTATATGAGATATCTAAAATAGTCAAATTCTCAAAAACACAAAGTAGGTCAGGCATGGTGGCTCATACCTGTAATCCCAGCACTTTGGGAGGCTGAGGTGGGAGGACTATTTGAGCCTAAGGAGTTCAAGACTAACCTGGACAACCCGGCCAGACTTGACTCTACAAAAAATTTAAAAATTAGCTGGGGATAGTGGCATGTGCCTGTAGTCCCGGCTACTCTGGAAACTGAGGCATAAGGATTGCTTGAGGCTGGGAGGTTGAGGCTGCAGTGAGTCGTGTTTGTGCCACTGGACTCCAGCCTGGGTGACAGAGTGAGACCTTGTCTCAAAAAAAAAGAAAAAGAAAACAAAACAGAAAGTAGAATGGTGATTGCTAGGGTCCAGGGGAGGGAGAAAAGGGGAGTTATTGTTCAAAGGATGTAGATTTTCAGTTTTACAAGATGAAAAATTCTGGAGATCTGTTATATAACAACATACATATAGTTAACACTAATGTACCATACACTCAAAATGGTTAAGATGGTAAATTTTGTGTTTTTGACCACAATGAAAAAGCTTTAGAGTTGTTATACTGAATCTATAAATGGCAAAACTACAAATCAATTTCTAATTTGAGAATTTCAGATAATTCAAAGAGGTCAAATGTTTAATTCAAAAGGAATATTGAAACTAAATTGTCAGTGTGCTGCTTTAATATTATTGAGGTAATAATATATTAAAATACTTTTTAAAAAAGACACTTCCTGCTGAAGAATAATTATACAAAGAATAGCAGTCACTCACTTTATAATATACAGATAATACTTTTGCAAGTGAATTAAATCCAAAGCATTTTTATATTAATAGCAATTAATTTGTCGTTAATTATTGTACAGGGTTTGCAATATAGCGTTCATTATGATAAACTAATTTGGCTTTTTCTAATAGGAAATGTGTTGGTTTAGGAAGTACAGTACTTATGATATTTTGTTATGTTAGACTTCATAAACTTTAAAACTTTATAGAAGAACAGTTTTCTAAATAAGTTTTAATGTTAAGTCAAAAGATAACTTTTAGGGAATAATCTGTGTAGTTTTGACATCTGTATATAATAAAGTCTACTCTATATTTAAAACATATTTGAAGCATCATCTTTATGTAAATCACTGTACTTGGCTTCGTGAGAAATATAAAAATGAATTGCTTCAATCCCTGGACTCAAGGATCCTGTGTTACCAAGGTAATTTCAAGAATTTCTGATTCCTTAAACTGTGTCGCAATGAATTATTTAACTTGGTAGCTCTCCTTAATTCCTCTCTCACCAAGCAGTTTAAATTCTTTCTGCCTGTATCAAGGTGGTTATCAAACCTGGGTCAAAGTTGAATCACCTGAGGATCTTTTAGAACATACACAGGTGAGAACGATATCCTTACACATCCTGATTTACATTGCAGTGGAATTTGAACACTTGTGTTTTAAAAAATGATCAAGTGTTTGGGAATGACTAGTGACTGCAAAAGGGTAGAAGTTTTCCTTTTAGTATGATGCAAATGGTCTAAAATTAGATTATGATGATGGTTGTACAACTCTATAAATTTATTAGAATAATTACTGTAAATAACTGAATTTTCCACTTAGAATGAGTTTTATGCCATGTAAATTATACTTCCATAAGGTGGATAAGAAGAAAAAAGCTGTAGGATATGGCGAAAATGTTACTCAGTAGTATGTATAGTCTTTAAAATGCATTTATTGGAAAAAATCTGACTATAGATGAACAGAGCATTCAATATGAGAAAATGGAAAAAAAAAAACAAAATTAGAAAGAAGAAAGTAAAGATAGAAACAGAAATTTGATATAAATAAAACTAGGGACCAAATAACTGGTTCTTTAAAAAGAGCAATTTAATAAACAAACCTCTACTAATTCTAATTAAAAAAAAGCACAATATCTGCACTGATAATAGAATAGTGGCATAACTATAGTCAGGAGATGTGAAAAATATTAGAATAGTATATGCAACTTTATAACAATATATTGAGAAACTAGATGAAATAGAAGGTTTTGTTTGTTTGTTTGTTTGTTTGTTTTTTGTCTTTTGTTTTTTGGAGACAGGGTTTTACTGTGTCACCCAGGCTGACGGGCAGTGGTATGTACAATCACAGCTCACTGCAGCCTCAACCTCCTAGGCTCAAGGGATCGTCCTGCCTCAGCCTCCCATGTAGCTGGGACCACAGGTGCATGCTACCACACCTTGCTAATTTTTGTTATTTTTTTGTAGAAATGAGGTCTCTCTTTGTTGCCTAGAGTGGTCTTGAACTCCTGGAATCAAGCAATCCTCCCACCTCAGTCTCCCAAAGTGCTGGGATTACAGGCATGAGCCACCATGCTCAGCTTGAAGAGTTTTTAAGAAAATATAAAACTGTCAAATTATATGCAATAAAAGGTAAAAAAAAAATAGATCAATATTCTTAGGTTTTTTTTTTTAAGATAGTCAAACATATTCTTCCCCACAAAGTTCCAGGTCTAGGTGATTTTGTGGGTAAATTTTCTCAAACCTTGAAGATTTGAGAAACTTCTTATGTTATTTAAACTGGTTTAGAGACTAGAAAGAGATAGAAATCTGTCAAATCCCTTCTATGAGGTTAACATAATATTTAGACTAAAAACAAGCAAAAATAAAACAAAAGAAAAAAACAAAGAAAAAATTGTAGCCCTGTCTCATTCATAAATATAGATACAAAGAATCTAAATTAAATATTAGTAAATTAAATATTAGTAAATCTAAATATAGCAGTATATGAAAAACAATACATCATCATCAAATAGAATTTAGAAATGGAAGAATGGTTCAACATCAGCACATTTATTACTTTAATTCAATATAAAATTAGAAATGGAAGAATGGTTCAACATCAGCACATTTATTACTTTAATTCAATGTATTAATATAGGCCAGGTGTGGTGGCTCATGCCTGTAATCCCAGCACTTTAGGAGGCTGAGGCGGGTGGATCGCCTGAGGTCAGGAGTTCAAGACCAGTCTGGCCAACATAGTGAAATCCCATCTCTACTAAAAATACAATTAAATTAGCTGGGCATAGTGGTGCGCACCTGTAATCCCAGCTATTCAGGGGGCTTAGGCAGGAGAATCACTTGAACCTGGGAGGAGGAGGTTGCAGTGAACTGAGATCCAGACATTGCACTCCAGCCTGGGCAACAGGACTGAAACTCTGTCTAAAAATATATATATATTAATATATTACAGGTCATTTACTACTTTTGATAGATTCAGAAAAGGCAACACCAATTCTTGAATTTTCATAAGCTATGAAGAGAATAAAACTTGCTTAATTTGATAAAGAGTATGTATCTGATGTCAATAGCAAACTTTGCATTAAATCTTAAAGCACTAGAGAGATATTCCTGTTTGAGTCAGGTATAACACAAAAATGCATCATCTTAATATTTTTCAACAGTGTCCTAGAAACCCTAACTAATGAAGCAAAGAAAAATAATTCTCTCTCTCTGTCTGCAGACAGTTAATACATAAAAGGAGAGGGAATATTAGAATAGAGGAAACAAACTGCCATGATTATATTCTAAAAAAAGATACAGATGTTATGTTTAGAGACTGGCAAGATGGCTGAATAGGAGCAGCTCTGGTCTGTAGCTTCCAGAGAGATCAACACAGAAGGCAGATGATTTCTGCATTTCCAACTGAGGTACCCGGCTCATCTCATCGGGACTGGTTTGACAGTGGGTGCGGCCCATGGAGTGTGAGCCAAAGCAGGGTGGGATGTTGCCTCACCTGGGAAGCGCAAGGGGTCAGGGAACTCCCTCCACCAGCCAAGGGAAGCCGTGAGAGACTGTGCCATGAGGAATGATGGACTCTGGCCCAGATACTATGCTTTTCCCACAGTCTTTACCACCCACAGACCAGGAGATTCCCTTGGGTGCCTATGCCACCAGGGCCCTGGGTTTCAAAAACAAAACTGGGTGGCCATTTGGGCAGACACCGAGCTAGCTGCAGGAGTTACTTTTTTTTCTTCATACCCCAGTGGCGCCTGGAATGCCAGCACTAAAGAACTGTTCACTCCCCTGGAAGGGGGCTGAAGTGAGGTAGCCAAGTGGTCTAGCTCAGTGGATCCTACCCCCAGGGGCCCAGCAAGCTAAGATCCACTGGCTTGAAACTCTCGCTGTCAGCACAGCAGTCTGAAGTCCACCTGGGATGCTCAAGCTTGGTGGTGGGAGGGTTGTCCACCATTACTGAGGCTTGAGTAGGCCGTTTTCTTCTCACAGTGGAAACAGCCCCAGTCAGGGGCTTATAGATAAAACCCCCATCTCCTTGGGACAGAGCACCTGTGGGAAGGGGCGGCTGTGGGCGCAGCTTCAGCAGACTTAAACATCCCTGCCTGCCGGCTCTGCAGAGAGCAGCTTATCTCCCATCACAGTGTTTGAGCTCTGCTAAGGATCAGACCGCCACCTCAAGCAGGTCCCTGACCCCCATGTCTCCTGACTGGGAGACACCTCCCAGCAGGGGCTGACAGACACCTCATACAGGAGAGCTCTGGCTGGCATCTGGCGGGTGCCCCTCTGGGATGAAGCTTCCAGAGGAAGGAACAGCAGCAATCTTTGCTGTTCTGTAGCCCCTGCTGGTGATACCCAGGCAAACAGGGTCTGGAGTGGACCCCCAGCAAGCTCCAGCAGACCGGCAGAAGAGGGGCCTGACTGTTAGAAGGAAAACTAACAAACAGAAAGGAATAGCATCAACATCAACAAAAAGGATGTCCACTCAGAAACCCCATCCGAAGGTCACCAACATCAAAGACCAAAGGTAGATAAATCCATGAAGGTGGGGAGAAACCAGCGCAAAAAGGCTGAAAATTCCAAAAACCAGAATGCCTCTTCTACTCTAAAGAATCACAACTCCTCGCCAGCAAGGGAACAAAACTGGATGGATAATGAGTTTGATTAATTGACAGAAGTAGCCTTCAGAAGGTGGGTAATAACAAACTGCTCCAAGCTAAAGGAGCATGTTTTAACCCAATGCAAGGAACCTAAGAACCTTGATAAAAGGTTAGAGGATTGCTAACTAGAATAATCAGTTTAGAGGAGAACATAAATGACCTGATGAAGCTGAAAAACACAGCATGAGAACTTTGTGAAGCATACACAAGTGGAAGAAAGGATATCAGAGATTAGGAAGATCAACTTAATGAAATAAAGTGTGAAACCAAGAGTAGAGAAAAAAGAATGAAAAGAAACAAACAAAGCCTCCAAGAAATATGGGACTATGTGAAAAGACCAAACCTACATCTGACTGGTGTACCTGAAAGTGACAAGGAGAATGGAAACAAGTTGGAAAACACTCCTCAGGATATTATCCAGGAGAACATCCCCAACAAATCAAGATAGGCCAACATTCAAATTCAGGAAATACAGAGAACACCACAAAGATACTCCTCGAGAAGAGCAACCCCGAGACACATAATCGTCAGATTCACCAAGGTTGAAATAAAGGAAAAAATGTTTATGGCAGCCAGAGAGAAAGGTCGGGTTACCCACAAAGGGAAGCCATCAGACTAAAAGCAGATCTCTCAGCAGAAACCCTACAAGCCAGAAGAGAGTGGGGGCCAATATTCCACATTCTTAAAAAAATTTTCAACCCAGAATTTTATATCCAGCCAAATTAAGCTTCATAAGCAAAGGAGAAATGAAATACTTTACAGACAAGCAAATGCTAAGAGATTTTGTCACCACCAGGCCTGCCTAACAAGAGCTCCTGAAGGAAGCACTAAATATGGAAAAGAAAAACCATTCCCAGTCACTGCAAAAACATACCAAATTGTAAAGATCATCAACACTATGAAGTAACTGCATCAACTAATGGACAAAATAACTAGCTAGCATCATAACAACAGGGTCAAATTCACACGTAACAATATTAACCTTAAATGTAAATGGGATAAATGCCCCAATTAAAAGACACAGACTGGCAAATTGGATAAAGAGTCAAGACCCATTACCATGCTGTATTCAGGAGACCATCTCATGTGCAAAGACACACATAGGCTCAAAATAAAAGGATGGAGGAATATTTACCAAGCAAATGGAAAGCAAAAAAACAGCAGGAATTGTAATCCTAATCTCTGATAGAACAGACTTTAAACCAACAAAGATCAAAAGAGACAATGAAGGGCATTACATAATGGTAAAGGGATCAATGCAACAAGAAGAGCTAACTATCCTAAATATATATGCACCCAATACAGGAGCACCCAGATTCATAAAGCAAGTTCTTAGAGACCTACGAAGAGACTTAGACTCCAACACAATAATGGTGGGAGACTTTAACACCCCACTGTCAACATTAGACAGATCAGTGAGACAAAAAATTAGCAGGGATATTCAGGACTTGAACTCAGCTCTGGACCAAGCAGACCTAATAGACATCTATAGAACTCTCCATCCCAAATCAACAGAATATACATTCTTCTCAGCACCATATTGCATTTATTCTAAAAGCCACCACGTAATTGGAAGTAAAACACTCCTCAGCAAAAGCAAAAGAACAGAAATCATAACAAACAGTCTCTCAGAACACAGTGCAATCAAACTAGAACTCAGGATTAAGAAAGTCACTCAAAACCGCACAACTACATGGAAAATGAATGACCTGCTCCTGAATGACTACAGGGTAAATAACGAAATTAAGGCGGAAATAAATAACTTCTTTGAAACCAATGAGAACAAAGACACAACATACTAGAATCTCTGGGACACAGCTAAAGCAGTGTTTAGAAGGAAATTTATAGCACTAAATGCCCACAAGAGAAAGCAGGAAAGATCTAAAATCGACACCCTAACATCACAATTAAAAGAACTAGAGAAGCAAGAGCCAACACATTCAAAAGCTAGCAGAAGACAAGAAATAACTAAGATTAGAGCAGAATTGAAGGAGAGAGAGACGCAAAAAACCCTTCAAAAAAATCAGTGAATCCAGGAGCTGGTTTTTTGAATAGATCAACAAAATAGATAGACCGCTAGCCAGACAAATAAAGAAGAAAAGAGAGAAGAACCAAATAGATACAATAAAAAATGATAAAGGGGATATCACCACTGATCCCACAGAAATACAAACTACCATCAGAGAATACTATAAACACCTCTATGCAAATAAACTAGAAAATCTAGAAGAAATGGATACATTCTTGGAAACATACACCCTCCCAAGTTTAAAGCAGGAAGAAGTCAAATGCCTGAATAGACCAATATCAAGTTCTGAAATTGAGGCAGTAATTAATAGCCTACCAACCAAAAAAATTCCAGGACTGGATGGATTCACAGCCAAATTCTACCAGAGGTACAAGGAGGAGCTGGTACCATTCCTTCTGAAACTATTCCAAACATTGGAAAAAAAAGGGACTCGTCCCTAACTCATTTTACGAGGCTAGCATCATCCTGATACCAAAACCTAGCAGAGACAAAACTAAAAAAGAAAATTTCAGGCCAATATACCTGATGAACATTGATGCAAAAATCCTTAATAAAATACAGGCAAACCGAATCCAGCAGCACATCAAAAAGCTTATCTACCACAATCAAGTTGGTTTCATCCCTGGGATGCGCAGCTTGTTCAACATACGCAAATTAATAAACGTAATCGATCACATAAACACAACCAATGACAAAAACCACATGATTACCTCAATAGATGCAGAAAAGGCCTTCAAAAAAATTCAACACCCCTTCATGCAAAAACTCTCAATGAATTAGGTATTGATAGAACATATCTCAAAATAATAAGAGCTATTTATGACAAACACACAGCCAATATCACACTAAATGGGCAAAAACTGGAAGCATTCCCATTGAAAACCTGCACAAGACAAGGATGCCCTCTCTTACCACTTCTACTCAACATAGTATTGGAAGTTCTGGCCAGGGCAATCAGGTAAGAGAAATAAATAAAGGTATTCAAATAGGAAGCGAGGAAGTCAAATTGTCTCTGTTTGCAGATGACATGATCGTATATTTAGAAAACCCCATTGTGTGAGCCCAAAATCTCCTCAAGCTGATAAGCAACTACAGCAAAGCCTCAGGATACAAAATCAATGTGCAAAAATCACAAGCATTCCAATACACCAATAATAGACAAACAGAGAGCCAAATCCTGGTGAACTCCCATTCACAATTGCCACGAAGAGAATAAAATAGCTAGGAATACAACTTACAAGGGATGTGAAGAATCTCTTCAAGGAGAACTACAAACCACTGCTCAAGGACATAAGAAAGGACACAAACAAATGGAAAAACATGCCATGCTCATGGATAGGAAGAATCAACATCGTGAAAATGGCCATACTGCCCAAAGTAATTTATAGATTCAATGCTATCTCCATCAAGCTACCATTGCCTTTCTTCACAGAATTAGAAAAATCTACTTTAAATTTCATATAGAACCAACAAAGAGCCCACATAGCCAAGACAATCCTAAGCAAAAAGAACAAAGCTGGAGGCATCATGCTACCTGACTTCAAACTACACTACAAAGCTGCAGTAACCAAAACAGCATGGTACTGGTACCAAAACAGAGATATAGACCAATGGAACAGAATACAGGCCTCAGAAATAACACCACACATCTACAACGATCTGATCTTTGACAAACCTGACATAAACAAGCAATAGGGAAAGGCCTCCCTATTGAATAAATGGTGTTGGGAAAACTGGCTAGCCATATGCAGAAAACAAACTGGACCCCTTCCTTACACCTTACATGAAAATTAACTCAAGATGGATTAAAGACTGAAACATAAGACCTAAAACCATAAAAACCCTAGAAGAAAACCTAGGCAACACAATTCAGGAGATAGGCATGGGCAGAAACTTCATGACTAAAACACCAAAAGCAATGGCAACAAAAGCCAAAATTGACAAATGGGATCTAATTAAACTAAAGAGCTTCGGCACAGCAAAAGAAACTATCATGAGAGTGAACAGGCAAGCTTCAGAATGGGAGAAAATTTTTGCAATCTATCCATCTGACAAAGGGCTAATATCCAGAACCTACAAAGAACTTAAACAAATTTACAAGAAAAAAACAAACAACCCCACCAAAAAGTGGGCAAAGAATATGAACAGACACTTCTTAAAAGAAGATATTTATGCAGCCAACAAACATATGAAAAAAAGCTCATCATCACTGCTCATTAGAGAAATGCAAACCAAAACCACAATGAGTTACCATCTCACGGCAGTTCAAGTGGCAATCATTAAAAGTCAGGAAACAACAGATGCTGGAGAGGATGTGGAGAAATAGGAATGCTTTTACACTGTTGGTGGGAGTGTAAATTACTTCAACCTTGTGGAAGACAGTGTGGTGATTCCTCAAGGATCTAGAACCAGAAATACCATTTAACCCAGCAATCCCATTACTGGGTATTTACCCAAAGGATTATAAATCATTCCACTATAAAGACACATGGACATGTATGTTTATTGCAGCACTGTTCACAATAGCAAAGCCTTGGAACCAATCCAAATGCCCATCAATGATAGAATGGATGAAGAAAATGTGGCACATATACACCATGGAATACTATGCAGCCATAAAAAAGGATGAGTTCATGTCCTTTGCAGGGACATGGATGAAGCTGGAAACCATTTTTCTGAGCAAACTAACACAGGAACAGAAAACCAAACACCCCATGTTCTCACTCATAAGTGGGAGTTGAATAATGAGGATACATGGACACAGGGAGAGGAACGTCACACACGGGGGCCTGTCAGGGGTTGGGGGCTAATGGAGGGATAGCATTAGGAGAAATACCTAATGTAGGTGATGGGTTGATGGGTACAGCAAACCACCATGGCATGTGTATACCTATGTAACAAACCTGCACATTCTGCACATGTACCCTAGAACTTAAAGTATAATAAAAAAGATACAAAGAATTTATCAACAAAGTATTAGAACTAATAAGAGATTTCAGTAAGAAGGAGATGTGTAATATCAATATACAAATTACTAATAGATACTAATAGTAACCAATAAGAAATAAAGAGACCACATTTATATTAACAATGAAACTATCAATGGAACAATCTTACCCAAAAATATGCAAGAGATAAACTATAAAACTTTCTAGAAAGTATTTTAAAAGACCCAGATATGTGGTGGTGCACACCTGTAGTCCCAGCTACTAGGGAGGCTGAGATGGGAGGAACTCCTGAACCCAGGAGGCGGAAGTTGCAATGAGCTGTGATCAGGCCACTGCCCTCCAGTTTGGGTGACAGAGAGAGACTCTGTCTCAAAAAAAACCCAAAAACAAAACAAAACAAAAACAGAAAAAAAACCCAGATAAAGAGGAAAACATGCCATGATTATAAATGGCAGGGTTCAATTTGTAAAGCTAAGTCACCTCAAATTCAAAAGCTCCTATTTATTTATTTATTTATTTGAGGGAGTTTCATTCTTGTAGCCCAGGCTGGAGTGCAGTGGTGCGACCTTGGCTCACTGCAACCTCCGCCTCCTGGGTTTAAGTGATTGGAGTGCAGAGGCGAGATCTTGGCTCACTGCAACCTCCACCTCCTGGGTTTAACTGATTCTCCTGCTTCAGCCCCCAGAGCAGCTGGGATTAAAGGCACGTGCCACCACGCCCGACTAATTTTCATATTTTTAGTAGAGATGGAGTTGCTCCATGTTGGCCAGGCTGGTCTCGAATTTTTTAAATGAAACTTGGCAAACTAATTCTCAAGTTCATTTGGATGAGTAAATTAGTAACAATTAGAAGCAAGTTACAAGAATAAAAATAAAGAAACTGAATTCCTCAGGTATCAAAACTTACTATAAGGTTGTAGTCAAAATAGTGTAGTATTGGTACAGAAACAGAGCAATTAAATATAATAGAGGATTCAGAAACAGATCCAAATAAATTCAATATTTAGTATATGAAAAATATGTCACTTCAAGCCTTGTGGAAAGAATAGACTAATAAATTGTTTGGGGATGAATGGATTTTTATTTACAAGAAAAAAATTAGAGTTCTCTTCATATGACACATTTTAAAAACTAAATTCAAGGTATTAAATAGCTAAATGTAAAAAGGCAAAACTATAAAAGTTCTAGAATAAAATACAGGAAATATTTTTTACAATCTTGGGGTGGAAAGGTCTTCCTAAATAAGACAAAATTCAGAAACCACAAAGAAAAAAACATACAGATGACTATATAAAGATATAAAACTTCTGTAATAGATGTTTATAACAGAAGTATTACTACACCTGGTATAAAACAACTCCAATGAATATAAACAAAACAAACAAACAAATAAATAAATGGCAAACACCCAGTAGGAACAAAAGCAAAGAATATGAAGAAGTAGTTCACAAAAGAATAAAATGCTAATACCTAATAAGCATATGAAAAGATGTTCATCTTCACTGGCGATTAGGAAGATGCAAATTAAAAATGAGATTCCATCTTTCTCTGTCAAATTACCAAATATTAAACATTAAAAAAGTCCAGGTTTGCCTAGAATATGCAGGAACAGAACTCATATACTTCTGGTACAGAGTGAATTGGGACAAGCAATTTGGAGTGACAAATAACTGGCAAATAACTATTATTACAATGTGACAATAACTATCAAAATTAAAATATTTTCAACTCGTAGTTTTAGATTTACATCCTATAGAAATATTTGCACAAATGTGTAAAGATATATATGTAAGGAACTTTATTTGTAATCGCTAAAAATATAAGACA